>NT_187383.1:90861-247134 GCF_000001405.40 Homo sapiens
GAATTCTTAAAAAATATTTGAATTACTCTTTGGTCAATATGCTACAGCTAAATTTGGATGGAAATTACAGAAATACAAAAGTAATGTCATGTTTTCCTTTAAGGCAGGAAATGGCTAAGTTTGAGTGTTGCCTTTGTCAAAGGATAGCAGGAGTGAATTTCAGTCAGAAAATATGCAGAAATAAATGGGAACCTATCTCCCCCTAAAATGTTTAAGGGGAAATTATCAAACATCAATAGGCAATTTAGTAGAGAAAGGGAAAGTATAATTCAGAGGGATACTCTGCATCAAGTATATTTTTTGACATTCCTTATTTGCCAAATCAGGAAGCAGAGACTTTAATCAAAGCCATTGACCTGTATCAATCACTGCTGTGCTCAGTTTTAAATACAGAGTAGGCATTGGAGGCTAGTTTTAGAAAAATAGAGTTAAGTATTAAATTTCATGGATCTTACCAAAGTTTAATATTTTGAAAAAAATGTCTAATACTATACTTCTATAAAATAGATTTTGTATTTACTTGGTCTTCACTTGGAAAATATCGAACAAAAAATCCCAAAACAATTCCTGCCAGCAGACTAATGCATACGTTCCTTATAGAGACTATGGCATTATTAAGCATACCACCTGCAGGGGCACACAATAAAAAAAAAATTCACAAAGAAATATTTTCACATACACTACACATCAGAAAAGCAAATCTAGGTGGTTCATGAAGAAAAGTAAGCATTTGATAGAACAAATATGTGCAAATGGTCTTTTTATAGTGACATGTATGAAAACACATAGATCTATTTAGTACATTAACTATATACTCTCAAATAATTTAATATATACACACAACTCAGAAATGTTCATTATATAAATAGGCCAGAAAACAAAGACTTAACAAGCACAAGATGCTCCCCTTACATAGCCAATTTAAAAGACAGATTGAGGTAGTCCAGGCGCAGTGGTTCATGTCTGTAATCCCAGCGCTTTGGGAGGCTGAGGAGGGTGGATTACATGAGGTCAGGAGTTCAAGACCAGCCTGGCCAACATAATGAAACCCCATCTCTACTAAAAATACAAAAATTAGGTCGGCATGGTGGCACACAACTGTGGTCCCAGGTACTCAGGAGGCTGAGGGAGGAGAATCACTTGAACCCGGGAGGCAGAGGTTGCAGTGAGCTGAGATCGTGCCACCACACTCCAGACTGGGTGAAAGACTGAGGCTACACCTCCAAAAGAAAAAAAAAAAAGACTAAGTGAGGTACAAGAATGGAGAGAGACCGAAACACCTGTGGCACTTAGCATATGGCTGGTAAGGGCTATATTAACAATTCTTCTTTGACGCACTATATGAAAAAAAACAAATGATTTTAACATGAAAAGAACAATGTAATAACAACATAAAAAATTTTGTTCCAGGGTCAGTCCTAGAAACATTCAAGGGTCATTTAAGATTTCAGTGTATTTAAGTTTCTGCTTTTGTTGAAGAAAAAAGAAAAAAAAATACAAAATATTCCAGTATATTTTATATTAATTAATATTAATATATCCATACTTGTAGTTCATTGTAATAAGTAAAAAGCAAAAAATAAAAAAACAGAATGAGTCACACAAATAGTTCAGTTAAGCTCTGGGTAGTGGATTCAATATAGTACGTAAGTATATTTTTAGATATATTTTCTACTAAATATAACAGGCAGTACATGGTGGGCTCACACCTTTAATCCTAGCACTTTGGGAGGCCAAGGCAGAAGGATTGCTTGAGCCCAAGAGTTGAGACCAACTTGGGCAACAGAGTGAAACCCCATCTTCACAAGAAAATAAGAAATTAGCCTGGTATGTGGTGTGTGCCTATAGTCCAAGTACTCAGTAGCCTGAGGGAGGAGGTCCCTTGAGATCAGGAGTTCGAGGCTGCACTCTAGCCTGGCTGACAGAGCAAGATCCTGTCTCAAGAAAATAAAATATAATAAAAATAAAAAATAATATAAACAGAGTGATGTCAGCCAGATGGTGGAATGGGAAGCTCCAAACCTTGATTCTCCATAAAGATACCAACTGAAAAACAATATATGGTCTAAAAGCCTTTATGGAGTTCCATAAACCATTAAGAAGTTGTAGTAGTACAGACAAGTGCAAAGCCAAGAATAGTGGCATTGAACAGATAAGAAAAGCTGTTGCATTATACTGATGATACCCCTTCCCCAAGCTCAAACAGGTTGGTTTGGCTGGGAAGCACTCAACTTGCAGCTTCTCCGTTAGCAGGGAAAGAGAAGACTGAAACGGAATAGTTTTATGAGGTTACCTGAAGCTCTCTCACTCTCTCTAACTTGACGCCCAACTGGCATACTTTGGATGCATGGGAGCCACTGGGAATAAAGGAGAGGTCAGAGATGATGCAGCACCAGGGAACCTGCAGTACCACAGACAGATACCAGAAGGAGCAACAGCTCCAGAAAAAGAAACTGGCAAACCTCTACTTGGGATGTTGCAATGTATAAACCCAAAGAAGATGCATTCCCAGAAAGAGTTTGAGAGGCTGCTGGAACCTATAGCCATGCTGATTCAGGTATGAAGGTCTTCCGTATGAAGCCAGCTGATAAAAACTGGGAGAAGTGGCAGTTTTTTCAAACGCCCAAATATTGGCAAAAATAAATAAAAAATAAAAAATAACAAGACATAAGAAGAAAGAGAGAAACCTGATGACTAAATTAAAGGAGCAAAATAAATCTCCAGAAACCAACCCTAAAGAAATAGGTAAATGAGTTACCTGACAAAGAATACAAATTAACTCTCTTAATGAAGCCCAGTGACAACAGAAATAGACAACTAAGTGAAAGCAGGAAATAATTCATGAACAAAATGAAAATATTAACCGAGATAGAAACTTAAAAAAAAAAAAAAAACAAAAAGGAACCATACAGAAACTCTGGAGCTAAGTCATACAATAGCTCAATTGAAAAATTCACTATCGGAAATCACCAATAGACTGTGTAACTGCCCAATGGGTTCACCTCGTGCCCTGCTTAGACAGAGCTGATTTATCAAGACAGGGGAATTGCAATGGAGAAAGAGTAATTCAGGCAGAGCTGGCTGTGCGGGAGATCAGAGTTTTATTATTACTCAAATCAGTCTCCCTGAGCATTCGGGGATCAGAACTTTTAAAGATAATTTGGCAGGTAGGGGCTTGGGAAGTGGGAACTGCTTATTCATCAGGCTGGAGATGAAATCATACGGGGTTGAAGTGATGATGTTTTCTTGCTGTCTTCTGTTTGTGGGTGGGGTGGCAGAACTAGTTGAGCCATATTACCAGTCTGGGTGGTGTCAGCTGGTTCATCCAGTGCAGGGTCTGCAAAATATCTCAAGCACTGATTTTAGGTTTTACAATAGTGATGTTATCCCCAGGAGCAATTTGGAGAGGTTCAGACTCTTGGAGCCAGAGGCTGCATAACCCCTCAACTGTAATTTCTAATGTTATAGCTAATTTGTTTATCCCGCAAAGGCAGACTGGTTCCAGGCAAGAAGGGGATCTTTTTGGGAAATGGCTATTATCAACTTGGTTTGAGAGTCAAACCATGAACTGAATACCTTACCAAAATTAGTTCATCCTACTGCCAGGAATGAACAAGGGCAGTTTAAATGCTAGAAGCAAGATGCAGTTGATTAAGTCTGATATCTTTTGCTGTCATAATTTCTTCAGTTATAATTTTTGCAAAGGCAGTTTCAATAACATCAAGCAGAAGAAAGAATCAGTGAAACGGAAGACTAGTCATTTGAAATTATGGAGTCAGAGGAGCAAAAGGGAAAAGGAGTGAAGAGTGAAGACAGCCTAAGAGACTTACAGGATGCCATCAAGCAGACCAATGTATGCATTATGAAAGTGCCAGAAGGAGAAGAGAAAAATAAAGGGGCAGAGAGCCAGTTAAAAAAGTAATGACCAAAAACTTCTCAAACTTAAAGAAGGAAATGGACATACAAATCCAAGAGGCTCAAAGAACTCCAAGTTGGATAATTTGCAAAAGACCTACAATGAGACACATTAGAATTTTGAAAGGAACAGGATCAAAGCAACTTGTCACATACAAGGGAGATTCCATATGGTTATCAATGGAATTCTCAGCAAAAACTCTACAGGCCAGAAGAGAATGGGATGATATATTAAAAGGGCTGAAAGAAAAAAAAAACTGTCAACCAAGAACTGTATAGCCAGTAAAACTGTACTTCAAAAATGAAGAGTTCCCCAGAGAAGTAAAAGGTGAGGGAGTTGATCACCACTAGGCCTACCTTACAAAAAACGTTAAAGGGAGTCCTCCAAGTGGAAATGAAAAGGCATTGGATAGAAATACAAAAGCATACAAAATATAAACTTCTTTGGTAAAGGTAAATATATGAGTGAACATAGAATCCTTTAATACTCTAATGGTGGTAAGCAAAACATTTTTTTCCTTTACTTTTTTTTCTTTTTTTTTTTTTTTTTTTGAGACAAAGTCTTGCTCTGCTGCCCAGGCTGGAGTGCAGTGGTTTGATCATGGCTCACTGCAGCCTTGCAGTCCTAGGCTAAAGCAATCCTTCCACCTCAGCCTCCTGAGTGGCTGGGACTACAGACATGCACCACCACACTCAGATAATATTTTTAAATTTTTAGCAGAGATAAGGCCTTGCTGGTCTCAAACTCCTAGGCTCAAGCGATGCTCACATTTTGGCCTCTCAAAGTTCTGGGACTACAGATGTGAGACACCACACCCAGCCTGTAATTCACTTTTAATTGAAGCATAGAATTTAAAAGGTAAAAGCATAATATTACTGTATTAAATTATGTGAATAAACAATATAAAATATATATTGTGTGACATTGATAACAAAGTGAGAAGGAGGTGTAAAGAAGTAGAGTTTTTGTATGTTATTAAAGTTAAGTTGTTGTCAATTTAAAATAGATTATTATAACTATAAGATGTTTTCATGTAATTCTACAGTAACCACAAAGAAAAGACCTACAGAAGATACACAAATAAAAATGAGAAAGGAACTAAAGCACGTCCCTACCAAAAAAAGAAATCAGTGAAACATAAAGGGAGGCAGAAAGAGAGGAAAAGTGGAAAAAAATACCTGCAAGACATGTATAAAACAGTGAACAAAATGACAATAGTAAGCCCCTCCCTATCAGTAACTACTTTAAATGCAAATAGGCTAATTTTCCAATCAAAAGACAAAGAATTGGCCGAATGGATTAAAAAAATCTAAATATATACTATATGCAAGAGACTTATGTTAGATCTAAACACACACAAAGGTTGAAAGTGAAAGGATGGAAAAAGATATTCAATGCATTTGGTAACCAAAAGAGAACAAGGATGGCCATACTTAGACAAAATAGAGTTTAAGTCAAATAATAGCACAAGAGACAAGGATATTACATAATAATAAAAGGGCCAATTGACCAAGAAGATATAGCAATTATAAATGTATATGCAACTAACAGTACAGCATCTAAATATATGAAGCTAACGTAGACAGAATTGAGGGGTAACATAGATAACAACATCATAATAACAGAAAACTTCAATATTCCACTTTCAATTATGGATACAATAACCAGACAGAAGATCAACTGGAAAACACAGAACTTGAACAACATTGTAGACCAATTGGACCTGTCTGACATATACAGAACACTTCACCCAATAATAGCAAAATATGCTTTCTTCTCAAGTACATACCAAGACTTTTCCAGGATAGATGGCATGCTAGTCCACAAACAAGTTTTTAAAAATTTAAGAAAACTGAACTCATACCAAATATCTTTTCTGACCACATTAAATGAAATTACAAATTCATAGCAGAAGGAAAAAGGAAAAGTAATAAATATGTGGAAATTACAAAAATATACTCTCTACCAATTGGCCTGTGTGGTTAATATTAATTGTCAATTTGATTGAGGGATGCTCAGATGCCTGATGAAGCGCTGTGTGTGGGTATATCTGTGAGGGTGCTGCCACAGGAGAATGATGGATGAGTTAGTGGACTGAGAGAGAAAAACCCATCCTCACTGTGGGTAGGCATCATGCAATTGGTTGCAAGTGTGACTAGAACAAAAAGGCAGAAGAATGGGAACATTCAGCTTGCTTGGATTTCTTTTTTATACACTTTCTCTCTCTTCCAGAGCAGTATGCCTTTTTCTCCTCTCGCCCTTGCACATCAAACTCTAGGTTCTTTGGCCTTTGGACCCTGGGACTTGCATCAGCAGCCTTTTGGGAGCTCTCAGGCCTTGGGCCTCAGACTAGTGGCTGCACTGTCAGCTTCCCTGGTTTTGAGACTTTCAGATTTGGACTGAGCCATGTCACTGGCTTCCTTGGGAGCCATGTTGTAAGCTTCTCTCATTTTCCAGCTTATAGATGGCCTATTGTGGGACTTTGCCTTTGTAATTATGTGAGCCAATTCTCCTTAATAAATCATATTTCATATACATGTAAATATATTCTCTTTTAGATGCATGTATATGTATCTCTATTATCTATTATCTATATCTATATCTATATCTATATCTATATCTATATCTATATATATTTCTTATTGGATCAGACCCTCTGGAGAACTCTGATTAATACATAGTCAAAGAATAAGTCACAAGGAAAATTAGAAAATGTCTTGAGACAAATAAAAATGGAAACACAACATTCCAAAGCTTGTGAGATGCAGCAAAATGAATATGAAGAGGACAGTTTATATATCTAACTACCTACCTTAAAAAAGAAGAAAGATCTAAAATCAGCAACTTAACTTTACACCTCAAGAAACTGGAAAAAGAAGAACTCAACCCAATGTTAGCAAAAGGAAGGAAATAATAAAGTCTAGAGCAGAAGGCCGGGTGCAGTGGCTCACGACTGTAATCCCAGCACTTTGGGAAGCTGAGGCAGGTGGATCACCTGAGGTCAGGAGTTCGAGACCAGCCTCAGCAACATGGAGAAACCTGTCTCTACTAAAAAATACAAAATTAGCCGGGCATGGTGGTGCATGCCTGTAATCCCAGCTACTCTGGAGGCTGAGGCAGGAGAGTCACTTGAACTGGGAGGTGGAGGTTGCAGCAAGCGGAGATCATGCCATTGCACTACAGCCTGGGCAATAAGAGTGAAACTCCATCTCAAAAAAAAAAAAATAAAAAGGCTAGAGAATAGAAAAAACCCAATGAAACTAGTAGTCGTTTCAAAGTTCAACAAAATTGACAAATCATTAGCTAGAATATTTAAGAAAAAAAATAATGAAGACTCAACTTCTTTTAGGAACAAAAGAGAAGACACTGCAACAGATATTTACAGAAATAAAAACGATTCTAAGAGTCTACTATGAATTATTATATACTGACTAGTTGGATAACCTAGGAGAAATGAACAGATTCCTAGTAACATGCAAGTTACCAAGACTAAGTCACAAAATAAAAAATCTTAATAAACCTATAACTAGTAACTGAATCAGGAATCAAAAACCTCCCAGCAAACCAAATACCTGATAAGGGTTAATATCTAAAATATATACAGAACAACAACTCAATAACAAAACAACCTAAATGAGAAATGGTCAGTTGACTTTGCTATGGTCCAAATGTTCTCCCAATATTCATATGCTGGAGCCTAATATTCAATGTGATAATATTAAGAGGTGGGGCATTTTGGAGATGATTAGTTCATGAAGTCATAGCCCTCAGAAATGGGACTAGGGCCTTTATAAAAGAGGCTTAAGGGAGTTTGTTTTCCCTTTTGAACATGTGAGGACACAGAGAAGGTGCTATGTATAGTGAATATAGTGACCTCACCAGTCACTGAGTCTGTTGTAGCCTAAATCTTGGACTTTTCACACTCCAGAATGCAAGAAATAAATTTCTGTTGTTTATAAATTACCAGCCTAAGGTATTTTGTTATAGCAGCAGGAATGGACTAAGATAGACTTGAATAGACATTTTTTCCAAAAAAAAAAATACAAATGGCCAACTAGCATATCAACCCAACACTACGTGGAAGCTGCCAAGCCTTGGGGATTGAACTCTGAAGCAATAGCCTGAGCTGTACGTTGGCTCCTTTTAGCCATGGCTGGGACACAGGGCACCAAGTCCCAAGACTGCACAGAGCAGCAAAGTTCTGGGCCTGGCCCACAAAACCATTTTTTCCCTCCTAGGCCTCCAACCCTGTGACAGGAGGGGCTGTCGTGAAGAACTCTGACATGCCCTGGAGAAAATTTCCCCATTATCTTGTCAATTAACATTTGGCTCCTTGTTACTTCTGCAAATTTCTGCAGTAAGCTTGAATTTCTCCCCAGAAAATGGGTTTTCTTTTCTATCACATCATCAGGCTGCAAATCTTCCAAACTTTTATGCTCTGCTCCCTTTTAAACATAGGTTCTAATTCCAAACCATATTTTTGTGAATGCATACAACTGAACACTTTTAAGAACACTCAGGTCATAAATTGAACACTTTGCTGCTTACAAATTTCTTCTACCAGATGTCCTGGATGGGTTCCAAGATGGCCAAATAGGAAGAGTTCCGGTCTGTAGCTCCCAGCATGATCGACACAGAAGACGGGTGATTTCTGCACTTCCAACTGAGGTACCTGGTTAATCTCATTGGGACTGGTTGGAGAGTGGGTGCAGGCCCACAGAGGGTGAGCTGAAGCAGGGTGGGGCGTCGCCTCACCCGGGAAGCACAAGGGGTTGGGGGATTTCCCTTTCCCAGCCAAGGGAAGCTGTGACAGACTACCTGGAAAAACAGGGCACTCCCGCCCAAATACTGCACTTTTCCCAAGGTCTTAGCAACTAGCAGGCAAGGTGATTCTCTCCTGTGCCTCACTCAGTAGGTCCCACAGCCATGGAGCCTTGCTCACTGCTAGCGAAACAGTCTGAAATCCATCTGCGAGGTGGCAGTCTGGTTGGGGGAGGGGCGTCAACCATTGCTGAGGCTTAAGTAGGTAAACAAAGCGGCCAGGGAAGCTTGAACTGGGTGGAGCCCACCGCAGCTCAACAAGGCCCATTGCCTCTAGACTCCACGTCTGTGGGCAGGGATAGCTGAACAAAAGGCAGCAACTTCTGCAGACTTAAACGTCCCTGTCTGACAGCTCTGAAGAGAGCAGTGGTTTTTCCAGCATGGCGTTTGAGTTCTGAGAATGGACAGACTGCCTCCTCAAGTGGGTCCCTGAACCCTGTGTAGCCTAACTGGGACACACCTCCCAGTAGAGGCTGACAGACACCTCATATAGGCAGCTGCCCCTCTTGGACAAAGCTTCCAGAGGAAGGATCAGGCAGCACTATTTGCTATTCTGCAATATTTGCTGTTCTGCAGCCTCCACTGGTGATACCCAGGCAAACAGTGTCTGGAGTGGAACTCCAGCAAACTCCAACAGATCTGCAGCTGAGGGTCCTGACTGTTAGAAGGAAAACTAAAAAACAGAAAGGAATAGTGTCAACATTAACAAAAGATCATCTACACCAAAACCCCATCTGTAGGTCAACAATATCAAAGACCAAAGGTAGATAAAACCAAAAGGATGGGGATAAACCAGAGCAGAAAAGCTGAAAATTCTAAAAATCAGAGCACCTCTTCGCCTCCAAAGGATCACCACTCCTTGTCAGCAATGGAACAAAGCTGGACAGAGAATGACTTTGACGAGTTGACAGAAGTAGGCTTCAGAAGGTTGGTAATAACAAACTTCTCCGAGCTAAAGGAGGATGTTGGAACCCATTGCAAGGAAGTTAAAAACCTTGAAAAAAGATTAGACGAATGGCTTACAAGAATAAACAGTGTAGAGAAGACCTTAAGTGACCCAATGGAGCTGAAAACCATGGCACAAGAACTTTATGACTCATGCACAAGCTTCAATAGCCGATTCAATCAAGTGGAAGAAAGGGTATCAGTGATTGAAGATCAAATAAATGAAATAAAGTGAGAAGACAAGGTTAGAGAAACAAGAGTAAAAAGAAATGAACAAAGCCTCCAAGAAATATGGGACTATGTGAAAAGACCAAATCTATATTTGATTGGTGTACCGGAAAGTGATGAGGAGAATGGAACCAAGTTGGAAAACACTCTTCAGGATATTATCCAGGAGAATTTCCCCAACCTAGCAAGGCAGGCCAACATTCAACTTCAGGAAATACAGAGAAAAACACAAAGATACTCTTTGAGAAGAGCGATTCCAAGACACATAATTGTCAGATTCACCAAGGTTGAAGTGTAGGAAAAAGTGTTAAGGGCAGCGAGAGAGAAAGGTCAGGTTAGCCACAAAGGGAAGCCCATCAGACTAACAGCTGATCTCTTGGCAGAAACTTTACAATCCAGAAGAGAGTGGGGGCCAATATTCAACATTCTTAAAGAAAATAATTTTCAATCCAGAGTTTCATATCCAGCCAAACTAAGCTTCATAAGTGAAGGAGAAAATAAAATTCTTTACTGACAAGCAAATGCTGAGAGATTTTGTCACCACCAGGCCTGCCTTACAAGAGCTCCTGAAGGAAGCACTAAACATGGAAAGAAACACCCGGTACCACCCAGTGCAAAAACATGCCAAGTTGTAAAGTCCATCAATGCTAGGAAGAAACTGCATCAATTAATGGGCAAATAACCAGCGAATATCATAATGACAGGATCAAATTCACACATAACAATATTAACTGTAAACGTAAATGGGCTAAATGCCCCAATTAAAGGACACAGACTGGCAAATTGGATAAAGGGTCAAGACCCATCAGTGTGCTGTATTCAGGAGACCCATCTCATGCGCAAATTCACACATAGGCTCAAAATAAAGGGATGGAGGAAGATCTACCAAGAAAATGGAAAACAAAAAAAGGCAGGGGTTGCAATCCTTGTCTCTGATAAAACAGACTTTAAACCAACAAAGATCAAAAGAGACAAAGAAGGCCATTACATAATGGTAAAGGGATCAATGCAACAAGAAGAGCTAACTATCCTAAATATATATGCACCCAATACAAGAGCACCCAGATTCATAAAGCAAGTCCTTAGAGACCTACAAAGAGACTTAGACTCCCACACAATAATAATGGGAGACTTTAACACCCAACTGTCAATATTAGAAAGATCAACAAGACAGAAGGTTAACAAAGATATCCAGGACCTGAACTCAGCTCTGCAACAAACAGACCCAATAGACATCCACAGAACTCTCCACCCCAAATCAACAGAGTATACATTCTTCTCAGCACCACATCTCACTTATTCTAAATTTGACCACATAATTGGAAGTAAAGCACTCCTCACCAAATGTAAAAGAACAGAAATCACAACAAACTGTCTCTCAGACCACAGTGCAATCAAATTCAAACAGGATTAAGAAGCTCACTCAAAACTGAACAACTACATGGAAACTGAACAATTTGCTCCTGAATGACTACTGGGTAAATAACAAAATGAAGGCAGAAATAAAGACGTTCTTTGAAACCAATGAGAACAAAGACACAATGTACCAGAATCTCTGGGACACATTTAAAGCAGTGTGTAGGGGGAAATTTATAGCACTAAATGCCCAGAAGAGAAAGCAGGAAAGATCTAAAATTGACCCCCTAACATCAAAATTAAAAGAACTAGAGAAGCAAGAGCAAACACATTCAAAAGCTAGCAGAAGGCAAAAAATAAGATCAGAGCAGAGCTGAAGGAGACAGAGACACAAAAAACCCTTCAAAAAAGCAATGAATCCAGGAGCTGGTTTTTTGAAAAGATCAACAAAATTGATAGACTGCTAGCAAGACTAATAAAGAAGAAAAGAGAGAGGAATCAAATAGATGCAATAAAAATGACAAAGGGGATATCACCACTGAGCCCAGGGAAATAAAAACTACCATCAGAGAATACTATAAACACCTCTACACAAATAAACTTGAACATCTAGAAGAAATGGATAAATTCTTGGACACATACACCCTTTCAAGACTAAACTTGAAGAAGTTGAATCTCTGAATAGACCAATAACAGGCTCTGAAATTGAGGCAATAATTAATAGCTTACCAACCAAAAAAAAGTCCAGGACCAGATGGATTCACAGCTGAGTTCTACCAGAGGTACAAAGAGGAGCTGGTACCATTCTTTCTGAAACTTTTCCAATCAATAGAAAAAGACAGAATCCTCCCTAATTCATTTTATGAGGCCAACATCATCCTGATACCAAAGCCTGACAGAGACACAACAACAAAAAAAGAGAATTTTAGACCTATATCCCTGATGAACATTGATGCAAATATCCTCAATAAGATAGTAACAAACGGAATCCAGCAACACATCAAAAAGCTTATCCACCATGATCAAGTTGGCATCTCTAGGATGCAAGACTGGTTCAACATATGCAAATCAATAAACGTAATCCATCATATAAACAGAACCAAAGACAAAAACCACATGATTATCTTAATAGATGCAGAAAAGGCCTCTGACAAAATTCAACAGCCCTTCATGCTAAGAACTCTCAATAAACTAGGTATTGATGGGACGTATCTCAAAATAATAAGAGCTATTTATGACAAACCCACAGCCAATATCATACTGAATGGACAATAACTGGAAGCATTCCCTTTGAAACCTGGCACAAGACAAGGATTCCCTCTCTCACCACTCCTATTCAACATAGTCTTGGAAGTTCTGGCCAGGGCAATCAGGCAAGAGAATGAAATAAAATGTATTCAACTAGGAAAAGAGGAAGTCAAATTGTCCCTGTCTGCAGATGACATGATTGTATATTTACAAAACCCCATCATCTCAGCCCAAAATCTCCTTAAGCTGATAAGCAAATTCAGCAAAGTCTCAGGATACAAAATCAATGTGCAAAAATCACAAGCATTCTTATACACCAATAACAGACAAACAGAGAGCCAAATCATGAGTGAACTCCCATCCACAATTGCTTCAAAGAGAATAAAATACCTAGGAATCCAACTTACAGGGGATGTGAAGGGCCTCTTCAAGGAGAACGACAAACCACTGCTCAACAAAATAAGAGGACACAAACAAATGGAAGAACATTCCATGCTCATGGATAGGAAGAATCAATATCGTGAAAATGGCCATACAGCCAAAGGTAATTTATAGATTCAATGCCATCCCCATCAAGCTACCAATAACTTTCTTCACAGAATTGGAAAAAAACAACTTTAAAGTTCATATGGAACCAAAAAGGAACCTGCATTGCCAAGTCAATCCTAAGCAAAAAGAACAAATCTGGAGGCATCACGCTACCTGACTTCAAACTACACTACAAGGCTACAGTAACCAAAACAGCATGGTACTGGTGCCAAAACAGAGATACAGACCAATGGAACAGAATAGAGCCCTCGGAAATAATACCACACATCTACAACCATCTGATCTTTGACAAACCTGACATAAACAAGACATGGGGAAAGGATTCCCTATTTAATAAATGGTGCTGGGAAAACTGGCTAGCCGTATGTGGAAAGCTGAAACTGGATCCCTTCCTTACACCTTATATAAAAATTAATTCAAGATGGATTAAAGACTTAAATGTTAGACCTAAAACCATAAAAACCCTAGAAGAATACCTAGGCAATACCATTCAGGACATAGGCATGGGCAAGGACTTCATGACTAAAACACCAATAGCAATGGCAACAAAAGCCAAAATTGACAAATGAGATCTAATTAAATTCAAGAGCTTCTGCACAGCAAAAGAAACTACCATCAGAGTGAACAGACAACTTACAGAATGGGAGAAAATTTTTACAATCTACCCATCTGACAAAGGGCTAATATCCAGAATCTACAAAGAACTTAAACAAATTTATATGAAAAAATCAAACTACCCCATCAAAAATTGGGCAAAGGATATGAACAGACACTTCTCAAAAGAAGACATCTATGCAGCCAACAGACACATGAAAAAATGCTCATCATCACTCGCCATCAGAGAAATGCAAATCAAAACCACAATCAGATGCCATCTCACACCAATTAGAATGGCGATCATTAAAAAGTCAGGAAACAACAGGTGCTGGAGAGGATATGGAGAAATAGGAACACTTTTACACTGTTGGTGGGAGTGTAAACTAGTTCAATCATTGTAGAAGACAGTGTGGCAATTCCTCAAGGATCTAGAACAAGAAATACCATTTCAATCAGCCATCCCATTACTGGGCATATACCCAAAGGATTGTGAATCATGCTGCTATAAAGACACATGCACACATATGTTTATTGCGGCACTATTCACAATAGCAAAAACTTGGAACCAACCTAAATGTCCATCAACGATAGACTGGATTAAGAAAATGTGGCACATATACACCAAGGAATACTATGCAGCCATAAAAAGGATGAGTTCATGTCCTTTGTAAGGACATGGATGAAGCTAGAAACCATCATTCTGAGAAAACTATCGCAAAGACAGAAAACTAAACACCACGTGTTCTTACTCATAGGTGGGAATTGAACAATGAGAACACTTGGACACAGGGTGGGGAACATCACACACTGGGGCCTGTCATGGAGTGGGGGGAGGGGGGGATAGCATTAGGAGATATATCTAATGTAAATGACGAGTTAATGGGTGCAGCACACCAACATGACACATGTATACATATGTAACAAACCGGCACATTGTGCATATGTACCCTAGAACTTAAAGTATAATAATAGAAAAACTATGACACTCTCCTACATACCATATCTGTACAAAAATTATAAATTTTAGATAACCATCCAGAGATATTTCTCTAATTCTTGGAAAAAATATCAACATTGAAAACATCAAAAAAATTAAACAGTTCTTTCTTCATCCAAAAAAAAAAAAAGAACGATAGGGAATCCTCCCTAACTCATTTTATGAGGCCAGCATCATCCTGGTACCAAAGCCTGGCAGAGACACAACAAAAAAAGAGAATTTTAGACCAATATCCCTGATGAACATCGATGCGAAAATCCTCAATAAAATACTGGCAAACCAAATCCAGCAGCACATCAAAAAGCTTATCCACCACGATCAAGTGGGCTTCATCCCTGGGATGCAAGGCTGGTTCAACATATGCAAATCAATAAACGTAATCCATTACATAAACAGAACCAAAGACAAAAACCACATGATTATCTCAATAGATGCAGAAAAGGCCTTTGACAAACTTCAACACTCCTTCATGCTAAAAACTCTCAATAAACTAGGTATTGATGGGACGTATCTCAAAATAATAAGAGCTATTTATGACAAACCCACAGCCAATATCATACTGAATGGGCAAAAACTGGAAGCATTCCTTTTGAAAACCGGCACAAGACAAGGATGCCCTCCCTCACCACTCTTATTCAACATGGTGTTGGAAGTTCTGAAAAGTGGAATCAGGCAGGAGAAAGAAATAAATTGTATTCAGTTAGGAAAAGATGAAGTCAAATTGTCCCTGTTTGCAGATGACATGATTGTATATTTAGAAAACCCCATCATCTCAGCCCAAAATCTCCTTAAGCTGATAAGCAACTTCAGCTAAGTCTCAGGATACAAAATCAACGTGCCAAAATCACAAGCATTCCTATACACCATTAATAGACAAACAGAGAGCCAAATCATGAGTGAACTCCCATCCACAATTGCTACAAAGAGAATAAAATACCTAGGAATCCAACTCACAAGGGTTGTGAAGGACCTCTTCAAGGAGAACTACAAACCACTGCTCAATGAATTAAAAGAGGACACAAACAAATGGAAGAATATTCCACGCTCATGGATAGGAAGAATCAATATCATGAAAAAGACCATACTGCACAAAGTAATTTATAGATTCAATACCATCCCCATCAAGCTTCTAATGACTTTCTTCACAGAATTGGAAAAAGAAACTACTTTAAAGTTCATATGAAACTAAAAAAGAGCCTGCATTGCCAAGACAATCCTAAGCAAAAAGAACAAAGCTGGAGGCATCACACTACCTGACTTCAAACTATACTACAAGGCTACAGTAACCAAAACAGCATGGTACTGGTGCCAAAACAGATATATAGACCAATGGAACAGAACAGAGGCCTCAGAAATAAGACCACACATCTACAGCCATCTGATCTTTGACAAACCTGACAAAAACAAGAAATGGGGAAAGGATTGCCTATTTAATAAATGATGCTGGGAAAACTGGCTAGCCATATGTAGAAAGCTGAAACTGGATCCCTTCCTTACATCTTATACAAAAATTAATTCAAGATGGATAAAAGACTTAAATGTTAGACCTAAAACCATAAAAACCCTAGAAGAAAACCTAGGCAATACCATTCAGGACATAGGCATGAGCAAGGACTTCATGACTAAAACACCAAAAGCAATGGCAACAAAAGCCAAAATTGACAAATGGGATCTAATTAAACTAAGGAGCTTCTGTACTGCAAAAGAAACTGCCATCAGAGTGAACCAGGCAACATACAGAATGGGAGATAAATTGCAATCTACCCATTTGACAAAGAAAGAATTCAAACAAATTTACAAGAAAAAAACAACCCCATCAAAAAGTGGGCAAACATATGAATAGACGCTTCTCAAAAGAAGACATCTATGCAGCTAACAGACACAAGAAAAAAAGCTCATCATCACTGGTCATCAAAGAAATGCAAATCAAAACCACAATGAGATACCATCCCACCCCAGTTAGAATGTCAATCATTAAAAAGTCAGGAAACAACAGATGCTGGAGAGGATATGGAGAAATAGGAATGCTTTTACACTGTTGGTGGGAGTGTAAACTAGTTCAACCATTGTGAAAGACATTGTGGCAATTCCTCGAGGATCTAGAACTAGAATTACCATTTGACCCAGCAATCCCATTACTGGATATATATCCAAAGGATTATAAATCATGCTACTATAAAGACATATGCACATGTATGTTTATTGCGGCACTATTAACAATAGCAAAGACTTGGAACCAACCCAAATGTCCATTAATGATGGACTGGATTAAGACATGTGACACATATACACCATGGAATACTATGCAGCCATAAAAAAGGATGAGTTCATGTCCTTTGCAGGGAGATAGATGAAGCTGGAAACCATCATTCTCAGCAAAACTATCACAAGGACAGAAAACCAAACACCGCATGTTCTCACTCATAGATGGGAATTGAACAATGAGATCACTTAGACACAGGGCTGGGAACATCACACACTGGGGCCTGTTGGGGGGTGGAGGGCTGGGGGAGGGAGACCATTAGGAGAAATACTTAATGTAAATGATGAGTTGATGGGTGCAGCAAACCAACATGGCACATGTGTGCCTATGTATCAAACCTGCACGTTGTGCACATGTACCCTAGAACTTAAGGTATAACAACAACAACAACAACAACAAACGTTTCTTCTACCAGATGTCCTCAGTCATCTCTCTCATTTTCAAAGTTCCATAAATCTGTAGGGCAGGGGCAAAATGCCACCATTCTCTTTGCTAAAGCATAGCAGGAGTGACCTTTACTTCAGTTCTCAACAAGTTGTTCATCTCCATCTCGGACCTCCTCAGCCTGGACTTCACTGTCCAAGTCACTATCAGCAGTTTGGTCAAAGCCATTCAACAAGTCTCTAGGCAGTTCCAAACTTTCCCACATCTTCTGGTCTTCTTCTGAGTCCTCTCAACTGTTCCAAACTCTGCATATTACACAGTTCCAAAGTCACTTCCACATTCTTAGGTATCTTATAGCAATACTCCATTACCTCAGTATCAAAATCTGTATTAGCCATGGTTCTCTAGAGGGATAGAACTAGTAGGAGATATATATATATATACACATACATATATATATATACACATACATATATATACATACATATATATATATACATATATATACATACATATATATATACACATACATATATATATATGACAGGGAGTTTATTAAGGAGAATTGAATCACACCATCACAAAGTGAAGTCCTACAACAGGCCGTCTGCAAGTTGAGGAGCAAGGAATC
This sequence comes from Homo sapiens, assembly GCF_000001405.40. Classification (NCBI taxonomy): domain Eukaryota; kingdom Metazoa; phylum Chordata; class Mammalia; order Primates; family Hominidae; genus Homo; species Homo sapiens. The sequence continues at coordinate 108,797 of NT_187383.1, forward strand.
TAGTATTGGCTTAGTCCGAGTCCCAACACCTCAAAAGTAGGGAAACCGACAGGCCAGCTTTGAGTCTCTGGATGAAGGCCTGGGAGCCCCTGGAAAACAACTGGAGTAAGCCCAAGAGTCCAAAAGCCAAAGAACCTGGAGTCTGATATTTGAGTGCAGGAAGCATCCAGCATGGGAGAAAGATGAGGGCCAGAAGGCTCAGCAAGTCAGCTTCTCCTAACCTTCTTCTGCCTGCTTTATTCGAGCCATGCTGGCAGCTGATTTTATGGTGCCCACCCACATTGAGGGTGGATCTGCCTTTCCCAGTCCACTAAATAAATGTTAATCTCCTTTGGCAACACCCTCACAGACACAACCGGGAACAATAATTTGGATCCTTCAATCCAATCAAGTTGACACTTACTTAATATTAACCTACACAATGTAATATTCATCCCATTTGTAATTTTTCTTTAATATACAAGCTCGTTGAGAACATGCACCATTTGATCTTGTCTCTCTGTTGTGTTGGGAGGCAGTGGAGAAGAGAAGAGTTAAATGTGTGGGTGTGGAGTGAGACTGTCAGATTTGCATCTTGGCTCCCCTACTTATTGGATCTCTGTCCTTGAGTAAATTATTTAACATCTTTCTCAGTTTCCTTACCTGTAAATGAGTGGTGACATATATGGAACTTAGAACAAGAGCCAAGCAAGTATTCAATAAAAGCTAATGTTGTTGCCTACTGTTCATTCTCAGTGTTTGGCATAGTAGCCAGCAAAAGGAAGAGGATTTTTTTTTTTATTTTTTTCAGACAGTCTCCCTCTGTCACCCAGGCTGGAGTGCCATGGTGTGATCTTGGCTCACTGCAACCTCTGCCTCTTGGGTTCAAGTGATTCTTGTGCCTCAGCCCCCTGAGTAGCTGGGATTACAGGCCTGTGCCACCACACCCAGCTAACTTTTTGTATTTTTAGTGGAGATGGAGCTTTGCTATGTTGGCCAGGCTGGTCTTGAACTCATGTCCTCAAGTGATCCACCCGCTTTGGCCTCCCAAAGTGTTGGGATTATAGGCATGAGCCATTGGGTCCAGCCTGGAAATATTTTTTTGAAACATGACTGATAACAATATTTTTGAAAGAATGACAGATACCAATCATGAAGGAAAAGATTTTGACAATTGACAATAAAAAACTTTAACTTCTGAATGGTAAAAAGGGTGAGAAAATTAAAAGCCAAATTACAAATTGAAAAAACTAAAGTATATAAAACAAAGGTTTTCATTCTCAATTTAATGCAGAATCTTGACAAATCAAAAAGAACAAAAGGTGAACCCACCTAAAAGAAGTAGGCAGAAAACTTTCAAGAAAAGCAGTTTACAAAATGCCAATGACTAATAAACATGGATATTTAACATCACTAGTATTCAAAGTACTTCATTTACAGAGATCCCTCCTTCACCTATCAAATTAGCAAAGATGAAAAAGGCTAGTAATACCAAATTTTGAAGAGAGGTGAGAGGAAATGACAAGTTTATGTACCCTGGTAGGACATGATATTGTGGCAATATGTTTCAGAACACTCATAAACGTATACACCTTTTAGATCAACAATTACACTTTTAAGCTTAAGAAAATATGAAGATTAGGTACAAATATTTCTCTATATGTTCAACTAAGTATTATTTTTTTAAGTAAGAAAAACTTTTTGAGACAGGGTCTCACTCTGTTGCCCAGGCTGGATAGCTCACTACAGCCTCCGCCTCCTGAGTTCAAGTGATTCTTCTGCTTCAGCCTCCTGAGTAGCTGGGATTACAGATGCCCACCACCATGCCCGGCTAAGTTTTGTATTTTTAGTGGAGACGGGGTTTCACCATGTTGGTTGGCCAGGCTGGTCTTGAACTCCTGACCTCAAGTGATCCACCCTTCTTGGCCTCCCAAAATGCTGGGATTATAGGTGTCAGCCACCATGCCCGGCCAATTTTTTAATTTAAAAAAATATTTTTATAGCAGCACAACTAAGCATTATTTTAATAGCAAATATTGGAGTTAACTTTAATTTTGAACAGGATGAGTAATCATGATGCAGCACATTGAATACTCTTTCATTAAGCTAAACAACTATTTAAAATGATATACAAACACATTTACTGAAAAGAAACATGTTTGTGATATACAGTTAAGTGTAAAACAATTCAGGTTATAAGAACATATTAGGCTGGGTGCGATGGCTCAAGCCTGTAATCCCAGCACTTTGGGAGGCCGAGGCAGGAGGATCACGAGGTCAGGAGATCAAGACCATCCTGGCTAACATGTTGAAGCCCTGGATCTACTAAAAACACAAAAAAAATTAGCCGGGCATGGTGGCAGACGCCTGAGTCCCAACTACTTTGGAGGTTGAGGCAGGAGAATGGCATGAACCCGGGAGGCAGAGCATGCAGTGAGCTGAGATTGTGCCACTGCACTCCAACCTGGGTGACAGAGCAAGACTCCGCCTCAAAAAAAAAAATAAAAGAACATATTGGTCAATATTCACTGATTTTTATAAGAATATTTGACAGAGAGAGGGGTAAGGGAAGGGAAGGGGGAAGAGAGGGGAAGGGAAGGGAAGGGAAGAAGGGAAGAAGGGAAGGGAAGGGAATATGGGTGGGTTTATATCAAAAGGTTCAGAAGGAAATGATTCTTTTCTTCTGGATGTGACTATTGCAGATTTTATTTTTAACTTTTCCTCTTTTTCTTATTTATTTATATTTTCTTATTTTAAGAGAAACTATAAAACTATATATATTACTTTTCAACTTAAAAATAGTTTAGTGCTTCAGTAATACAGAAGACTCAAACATTGCAGATAATTAAAGCATTACTTAATGTGGAAATATTTAGTTTCACAATTTCTGTAGTGATATTCAAGACCAGATATCACCTTGGGAATCAGAACTGGTGCAGGATCTTGTCCTAACACTACCAAAAAGGCATATGGCTGTCCCAGCTCTGTATGTTTATGTCGTCTTATGATAGAGCAACCATTTGTTTATTAGGATGGCCAAAAAGGCACATTTCAAAAATGCCTATTAAAATATTAGTAGTACAAATAATACTGCTGCTTAATTTTTTCTAATGAGAACTGATAAAATTCAAAAGCAACATAAGCAGATAAATAGAAATAATATGGTTTATCAAATTAATTGTCACATGATTATTAAAGTGAGATCATGTGTGTTAAGTAGTGGTATCTTAAGCCACTGAAATATCTTCCTTGGTCTGGAATGAGCTTTCTATGGAGATTAAAAAGATGTTAAATTGAACAGTCTTGGTTAATAAATGAAGAAGCAAAGCCAGAAACCCTGTTTAAAGAACTAACAAAAAAGGTCATGAATGATCTGGTGGTTGTTATATTTTCTTGTTTACCCGAGGAGAAGACTATGCTCAAGCATGTATTGAATCCAGTGATAGCCAGAATGTCATCCATACTGCTAGCAGCCATTAGTAAGGTTGGAATGTCTTCCTCAACACCATATCCATTTTCTTGCAACACCATCGTGTAAAGGACAACAACAGCAAGAGAGACAGCACCTAGAACAAAACTGAAAGAAAGAATGAAAATTAATTTAAAAGCATCTTTTTAATCAAGTAGTGTTTTATAAGTACAAATAGTTTATAATAAATGTATAACAAACATTGTTTAGAAGAATTTCAAATTTGAGTGAATGCAATTTAATGGTGATAAAACTTTTCATGCATTGTTTAGTGCTGGCTAAAATTTTATACAGACGTGGTTTAAAATGTTGGGCTGAGCACAGGTTGCAGCCTCTCCCTCTATTCCTAAATCCTTTGAAGTGAAGATGTAAAGGTCATAGAAAAATTCATAACCTAACTAGAAAGCAAAAGGTGAATCATCAATGGACAAGAAACTAAGTATATGCCAGAAAGATAAGAGACAGACAATTTAGCATTGAAAAAAGGAAACCATAAACCAAAATGTGTGTAAATAAGATTGCCTCAAAAGATACATGTGCTTCTAAAAGTGGTCCAAGCCCTGAAATGACAGATGCTGGGAGCAGGAGAGACCTCCGGGGAAACCAAATAGTCTATTATTTGGAGTAGCACTGTAAGAATGGTCAGACAAATCTACCTTCCACACATTTCCTACCTCTTGAGTAAATAAGTAAGGAAGGAAGGAAGGAACAGAGTTGTCTGCCCAAAAAAACAAGTGTGGCCACCTAAGTTACAAAGGCAAATGAGAACATTTCTGGAGTGGTTGATGACACCCATGAGGAATGGGGAGGCTCCTGCTCAGAATACCTTCTATTGGCATATCTTATCCAGAATTTCACCTCATCTCTTCTACATTTACTTTATAAAGTGTGAAGTATATCCTGTGTAAAAATGCTTTTGGTGCTCCTGCCAGAATCCATTTACCAGGTCAATGAACACATCTCCCAGTGCTTCTTGTTGGCTGCTAATATCTGCAGGTTTCTAGAACCCTTGTCCTGCTGACAAGCACCTACCTGGGAATACTAGAGAGGTTGCGCACCCCTCTACTTTCCCTCCAGACAGCATCTGCCAATGACGGACTGATGTGAGATTTGCTTCCGGCTGTACAACTCTATGGCACAGTTTATGCTACAGATTTCCCTGTGGGCTCAAGAAGAGACTAGACTTCTCTAAGACCACATACTGGTCTAGTTCAGTGGTTCCTGAACTCTGCTGCACATTGTAATCACCTGTTGTATTATTTTTCTCATTTTGCTTAACAAGTCATCCCCAAACATAGCAGCTTAAAACAACAAATATTTATTGTCTTATGCTTCTGTGGGTCAGGAATCTGGGCATGGCTTAGCTGTATGCCTTGACTTAAGATTTCCCATGAGGTAGGGTGGGGTGGAGAAGATCTGCTTCCAAGTTTACTCATGTAGCCATTGCAGGCTTCAGTTTTTTCCAATGGGGTTTTCTCCACAGGGCTGCCTCAGGACATGGCAGCTGGCTTCCCCAGGAATAAGTGATCAAAGAGAATTTAATCCACAACATCAATTAAAAACACAAAGTATCTAAGAACAAAACTGTGAAGACAGTCTATACTTTTATAAAAATTGTGAATATAATAATATAATAATTAAGATAATACCTGAATACTTACACATTTCACAAGTGTGAACTAAAAAGCCCCAATTTTACCATTGCCCAACACCACGCCTGGCTAGTTTTTGTGTTTTTAGTAGATACAGTGTTTCACCATTTTGGCCAGGCTGGTCTTGAACTCCTGACCTCAAGTGATATGCCTGCCTTGGCCTCCCAAAGTGCTGGGATTATAAGTGTGAGCCACCATGCCCAGCCAAAGCCTCAATAATATAAAGATGTAATCTCTCCCCAAATGAATTAATCAGAGATACACCAATCAAAATCTTTGCAGGGACTTTTACTGAGCTTGAAAAGCTGATTATAAAATTCATTTGGAAGAATAAGATCTTAGAATGAAAGATCAAGTAAACTTAAGAAAACCAGATACTATTTTTGTAAAGGTTAAATAGTTAAAACTGAATAATAGTGACATATAAATAGACAAAATAAATTGGAAGAAAAGAGAATACAAAGTGTGGAAACAAATCTATGGGATTTGTTACATCATAAATTGGTATTTTAAATCAGTGGGAGAAAGAAAGAAATCTTTCACAAATGGTGTTGAGATAACTATTTATGTGGAAAGGAATATAGATAGATCCTTACACATAATAACTGTTAAAAGCTCAAAAGGAAAAGTAGTAATAAGAAAATGTAGTGGGCTAGGCGTGATGGCTCACACCTGTAATCCCAGCACTTTGGGAGGCTGAGGCGGACAGATCAGGAATCTGAGACCAGCCTGGCCAACATGGCAAAACCAATAGCTGGGTGCAGTGGTGCATGCCTGTAGTCCCAGCCGCTTGGGAGGTTGAGGCAGGAGAATCACTTGAACCTGGGAGGTGGAGGTTGCAGTGAGCTGAGATCATGCCACTGCACTACAGCCTGGGTGACAGCAAGACTGTGAACAACAACAACAAAAAGATGTAGAATAATATATTTGTGATCATGAGGTAAAAAGGACCTTTTGAATGATACATACAAAGGCATTAGACATAAAAAGAGATTTTGATACATTCAATTATATTAAAGTAGTACTTCAAAAGCAACTTCAAAAGTACTATAATAAAGTACTACTTCGAAAGCAATTCTGCTCTTTCTCCCCCTTTTTCTCTTTTTCATTTTCAAAGTCAAGTGAACAGTGTTGTGTATTGGCAATTCTGTCTGTTGAAAATAACAAAATACACTTATTAGAGTGAAAAAAATCATCACAAACAAAATTAAATATCTACTGATATTTGCAGTACATATAATTTACAAATGCATATAACATATATAATTAATACAGAAGACCAACTCAACAAAAAAATGGACAAAGATATGAACAGGCTAGCTACAGATAAGGAAAAGCTGAAGGACAACACATATATAAAATATATTCAAGCTTGTGAATAATCACAGAAATGCAAATTAAAATAACAAAAATATGCCATTTTTTCAATTATCAGACTGGAAAACATTATAAAATTTAATAATATCAAGGATTTGCAAGGATTTTCAAGAACAACAGGTATGCTCATAAGCTACTGGTATTAGGGCAAATTAAAGTGGCCATACCGAAAGGATTTTGGCTGTATATATCAAACTAAAAATGCATGTAACCCAGGTAACTATTCTAGACAAACTTATAGTTATGTAAAATGAGACAAATAAAATGCTATTTTTGTTATAACATTGTAAATAAAATCTGCTGTTGACATACAATGTAATCTTATACAATTAAAAGGAATAAACTACATGTGTATCCATCTTGAGATGGATAAACCTTGAGACTATTGTTGAGTGAAAAGAACAAATTGTAAAGTAAAATTTTCTTGGGTATGATTACATAAAAATGCACAAAATAATACTCTTTTTTTCTCTGGGTTCACAAATACATTTGTTAGAAGTCCAGAACATTATTTTTAAAGCTCTAGAATGATAACATAAAACTCACGAAGATGCTGCCACTCTGTCTCCAGCGGCACATGAGTGCACCCCACAGCACCATTGCCCCGGCTGGCACGTGCAAGTATGCAGAACACCCCCATCCCACTCCTGCCGGCACTGCACCCCTGCCAACACATGCATACCTGCTGTGTGCTGCTGCTGCTGGCACGTATGTGTGAGTGGGGACCTTGCTACAATCACTACAGTGAAGCACTTTGGCTGGCACATCCCATCAGAGTGTTGTTGCCAGTGGACTGGGAACACCTTAGTGCTTAACATTGAAGGGCCAGACAACAAATCTGTGGGTATGGTACCAGCCTTGCAAAGTTAGAGCATGCAGTTCAGGAGTGCTGAGCTGAGCCTTTGCCCCCTGAAATCTTCCAGAAATGAAGCCATTTGACTGAAACTACCTTGTGCCACAGTTAAACCCTCAAGGGCATTAAAGAATATAAAAAAGGAAAAAACTCCATCCAAAGGACAGTGAGTCAAAACATTAAAGGAACCTTAGCCCACACAGATGTGAAAGAACCAGTGCAAGAACTCTGGCAATGTAAAAAGCCAGAATGTCTTCCTGTCTTCAAGCAATCATACTAACTCTCCAACAATGGTTGTTAACCAGGACTAAATGACAGACATAGATTTCAGAATCTGGATAGAAACAAAGATCATTGAGATTCAGAAGAAAGTCAAAATCCAATCCAAATAATCTAAGGAATCCAATAAGATGACATAAGAGCTGAAAGATGAAATAGGCATTTTAAGAAAGAACCAAACTAAACTGATAGAGCTGAAAAATGCACCTCAAGAATTTCATAATGCAATAACAAGTACTAACAGTAGAACGGACCAAGCTGAGGAAAGAATCCCAGATCTCAAAGACCACTTCTTTGAATCAACTCAGTCATATGAAAATAAACGACAAAAAAGAATGAACAAAACCTCTGAGAAATCTGAGCTTATGTAAAGAGACCAAACATATGACTCAAGGCACCACTCAAAGAAAGGGAGAAAGAACAAGCAAGTTGGAAAACATATTTGAGGATACTGCCCACAAAAATTTCCCAAATCTTGCTAGAGAAGTCACCATTTAAATCCAGGAAATGCAGAGAATCCTGTGAGATACTATACAAGATGACCATCCCCAAGACAGAGAGTCATCAGATTCCCCAAGGTCAACATGAAATAAAAAAATATGAAAGGCAGCTAAAGTGAAGGAGCAGGTCACATACAAAGGGAATCCCACCAGGCTAACAGTGGAACTATAAGAACTATAAGATACTCTACAATCCAAAAGAAATTGGGGGCCTATATTCAGCATTCTTTTTTTTTTTTTCGAGACGGAGTCTCACTCTGTTGCCCAGGCTGGAGTGCACTGGTGCTATCTCGGCTCACTGCAACCTCCACTTCCCGGGTTCAAGCAATTCTTCTCCCTCAGCCTCCCAAGTAGCTGGGACTACAGGTGCACACCACAACACCTGGCAATTTTTTGTAATTTTAGTAGAGACAGGATTTCACCATATTGGCCAAGGTGGTCTCAAATTCCTGACCTCGTGATCTGCCCACCTCGGCCTCTCAAAGTGCTGGGATTACAGGTGTGAGCCACCACACCTGGCCTTCAGCATTCTTAAAAAAAAAATACTTGGCCGGGTATGGTGGCTCATGCCTGTAATCCCAGCACTTTGGGAGGCTGAGGAGGGCAGAACACAAGGTCAAGAGATCAAGACCATCCTGGCCAACATGGTGAAACCTCATCTCTAATAAAAATACAAAAATTAGCTGGGTATGGTGGTGCGTGTCTGTAGTCCCAGCTACTTGGGAGGCTGAGGCAAGAGAATCACTTAACCCAGGAGGTGGAGGTTGCAGTGAGCCGAGATAGCACCACTGCACTCCAGCCTGGGGACAGAGCAAGACTCTGTTGCAAAAAAAAAAAAAAAAAAATTCAACCAAGAACTTAATATCCAGCCAAACTAAACTTCATATGTGAAGGAGAAGTAAGATCCTTTTCAGACAAACAAATGCTAACGGAATCTGTTACCACCAGACATGCCTTACAAGAGGTCCTTAAGGGAGTGCTAAGCGTGGAAGTGAAAGACTGTTAATGGCCACCACAAAAATACATTTAAGTACATAGACCATTGACGTTGTAAAGTAACTACACAATCAAGTCTGCATAATAACCAGCTAACAACATAATGGCAGGACCAAAGCTATAAATACCATTAACTGTGAATGTAAACAGTATAAATGCCCTGCTTAAAACTCACAGAATGGCAAGTTGGATAAAGAAGCAAAGCCCAACTGTATCTGTTGTCAAGAGACCCAGCTCATATGCAACAATACCCCTTGGCTTGAAGTAAAAGGATGGAAAAAAATCTACCAAGCAAATGCAAAACAAAAAAGGGTAAGCATTGTTATTCTAATACAGACAAAATAGACTTTAAACCAACAACAATCAAAGAGACAAAGAAGGGTACTATGTAATGATAAAGGGTTCAATTCAACAAGAAGACTTAACTGTCTGAAAGATAAATGTGCTCAAAACTGGAGCATTCACATTTGTAAAACAAGTTCATAGAGACCTATAGAGAGACTTAGATAACCACAGAATAATAGTGGGAGACTTCAACATCTCACTGATGGTACTAGACAGATCATAGAGACAGAAAATGCACAAAGATATTCAGGACTTGAAGTCAACATTTGGCTAAATGGACCTAACAGCCATCTACAGAACACTCCACCCAACAACAACAGAATATATCTTCTTCTCATCTGTACATGGCATATATTGTAAAATTGATCACACTATCAGTCTAAAATTATTTTCAATAAATTAAAAGAAGCCCCTGAAATCATGCCAACCACACTCTTGGACCGCTCAGTGTAGCAAAAATAGAAGTCAACACTAAGAAGAACTCTCAAAACCATAAAATTACATGGAAATTAAACAACCTGTGCCTGAATGACTTTTGGGTAAACAATGAAATTAAGGCAGAAACCAATATATTTTTTGAAACTAATTAAAACAAAGATACAATATTCTAGGCTCTCTAAGACACAGGCAAAGCAGTGTTAAGGGAAAAGTTTATAGTGCTAAATGCCCATATTGAAAAGTTAGAAGGATCTTAAATTAACAACCTAATATCATACCTAAAGGAAACAGAAAAACAAGAGGAAACCAACCCAAAGCTAGCAGAAGAAAATAAACAACCAAAATCAGAGCAGAATGGAATGAAATTGAGTCATGAAAAGCCATACAAAAGATAAATGAAACTAAAAGCTGGTTCTTCGAAAGAATAAATAAATTTGATAGGTCACTAGCTAGACCAATAAGGAAAAAAAAAAGAGAAGATACAAAAAACACAATCAGAAATGGTAAAGTGGACATTACCGCCAACCACACAGAAATACAAAAAACTCTCAGAGACTAAGATGAACATGTTTATGAAAACAAAGTAGAACACCTACAAGAAATGGGTACATTTCTGGAAACATACAACCTCCCAAGATTGAACTAGGAAGAAATTGAAATCCTGAACAAACCAAAAATGAGTTCTGAAACTGAATGAGTAATAAAAAGTCTCTGAGCCAAAAAAAAAAAAAAAAAGCAAGCCCAGGACCCAACAGATTCACAGACAAATTCTACCAGAAGTGTAAAGAAGAGCTGGTACCAATGCTACTGAAATCATTCTGAAAAAATGAGGAGGAAGGATCCCTCCCTAACTCATTTTATGAGGTCAGCATCATTCAGATATGAAAACCTGGCAGAGACACAGCAAAAAAGAAAACTTCAGGACAGTTATCACTGATAATCATAGATGCAAAAATCCTCAACAAAATACAAGCCAACTGAATCCAGCAGCACATCAAAAAGCTAGTCCACTATGATCATGTAAGATTTATTGCTGGGATGCAAGTTTGGTTCAAGATATACAAACCAATAAATGTGATTCATCATAAAATAGAACTAAAAATAAAAACATCCCTTCTTGATATAAACCCTCAACAAATGAGTTACTGAAGGAGCATACCTCAAAATAATTGAAGCCATTTATGACAAACCCACAGCCAACTTCATACTGAATGGGAAAAAGCTGGAATATTCCCTTTGAGAACTGGAACAAGACAAGGATGCCCACTCTCACTACTCCTATTCAACATAGTGCTGGATGTCCTAGCCAGTGCAATTAGGCAAGAGAAAGAAACACAGACATCTAAATACGAAGAATGGAAGTCAAACTATGCCTCTTCTTGGGTGAAACACTTTTATACCAAGAAAACCCCATAGTAGCCTCTCGAGAGCTCCCAGATCTGACAAATGACTTCAGCAAAGTTTCAGGATACAAAAATTAATGTACACAAATCTGTAGCATTTCTATACAGCAACAACATCCAAGCTGACAGCCAAATCAAGAATGCAATCCCATTCACAGTAGCCACAAAAAAAACTACAAAATACCTTGGAATACAGCTAAGCAGGGAGGTGAAAAATCTCTAAAATGAAAATTACAAACGAGTGCTCAAAGAATCAGAGACAACAGAAACAAAAGGAAAACATTCCATGATCACAGATAGGAAGAAGCAATATTGTTAAAATGTCCATACTGTCTAAGGCTATTTACAGAGTCAATGCCATTCCTATCATAACACCAATGACATTTTTCACAGGATTAAAAAAAAAGCATTCTAAAATTCATTTGGAGCCAAAAAAAAAAAAAGCCCAAATAGCCAAAGCAATCCTAAGCAAAAAGAACAAAGTCAAAAGCGTCACACTACCTGACTTCGAACTGTACTACAATGCTACAGTAAGCAAAACAGCATGGTTATGCTCAGCAAAATAAATAATCAGCAGAGTAAAAAGACAACCTATAGAGTGGGAGAAAATCTTTACAAACTATGCACCCAGCAAAGTACTAATATCCAGAATCTATAAGGAACTCAAAAACAGACATAGACCAGTGGAACAAGTTACAGAACGCAGAAATAAAGCCACACACCTATAGCCATCTACTCTTCAACAAACTTGACAAAAACAAGCAATGGGGAAGGGAATCCCTACTTGGAAATTGTGGTGGGATAACTGGCTAGCCGTATGCAGAAAATTGAAACTGGACTCCATACTTTTCACTGTTTACAAAAATCAACTCAAGGTAGATTAAAGACTTAAGTGTAAAACCCAAAACTATAAAAACCCTGGAAGATAGCCTAAGAAATACCATTCTGGATACAGGCCATTCTGGACATATCCTAGGAAATTTCAATTCTGGAAAACACTTTATGACAAAGATGCCAAAAGCAATTGCAACAAAAACAAAAATTGACAAATGGGACCTAATTAAACTAAAGGGCTTCTGCACAGCAAAAGATATCATCAACAAACAACCTATGGAATGGAAGAAAATATTTGCAAACCATGCATTCGACAAAAGTCTGATATCCAGAATCCAAAAAGAACTTAGAAAAATCAACAAGCAAAAATCTAACAACCTCATTAAATGCGCAAAGGACAGGACAAGACACTTCTCAAAAGAAGACAAACACGTAGTCAACAAGTATACGAAAAAATATTCAACATCACTAATCATTGGAGAAATGCAAAACAAAAGTGCAATGAGATACAACCTCACAGGAGGCAGAATGGCTATTATTAAAAAGTCAAAAAGTAATAGATGCTGGCGAGTTTGGGGAGCTACTCCCAGGTCTTTGGAAGGCTGAGGCATGAGAATTGCTTGAACCTGGGAGGCAGAGGTTGCAGTGAGCTGAGATTGGGCCATTGCACTCTAGCCTGGGCAACAGAGCAAGACTCCATCTCAAAAAAAAAATACAGAAAGAGAAAGAAAGAAAAACCCACAGCCAACATTATACTGAACGGGGAAAAGTTGAAAGCATTCCCCTGAGAACTGGAAAAAGACAAGGATGCCCACTTTCACCACTTCTATTCAACATAGTACTGGAAGTCCTAGCCAGAGCAATCAGACAAGAGAAAGAAATAAAGGGCATCTAAATCAGTAAAGAGGAAGTCAAACTGTTGCTGTTCCTGATGATATGATCATATAATGAGAAAACCCTAAAGACTCATCCAAAAAGCTCCTAGATCTGATAAATGAGTTCAGTAACGTTTCAGGATACAACATCAATGTACACAAATCAGTAGCACTGGTATACACTGACGGTGACTGAGCTGAGAATTAAATCAAGATCTCAACCCCTTTTAAAACAGCTACAAAAAAAACAAAACAAACAAACAAAACCAAAGAAAAAAACCCCAAGCAAACCAACTTAGGAATATACCTAACCAAGGAGGTGAAAGACCTCTACAGTGAAAACTACAAAGCACTGCAGAAAGAAATCATAGATGACACAAACAAATAAAAACACATCACATGCTCATGGATAGGTAGAATCAATATTGTGAAAATGACCATACTGCCAAAAGCAATCTACATCATCATTCTTCCCTGAGCTAGAAAAAGCAATCCTAAAATTCATGTGGAAGCCAAAAATAGTCCGCATAATGAAAGCAAGACTAAGCAAAAAGAACAAGTGTGGATGCATCACATTGCTTGACTTCAAGCTATATTATAAGGCTATATTCACCAAAGCAGCATAATACTGGTATAAAAATAGGCACATAGACTAATGGAACTGAATAGAGAACTGAGAAATAAAGCCAAATACTTAAGCCAACTGATCTTTAACAAAGGAAACAAAAACATAAAGTTGGGAAAGGACACCATATTCAACAAACAGTGCTGGGATATTTGGCAAGCCATATGTAGAAGAATGAAACTGCATCCTCATCTCTCACCTTATACAAAAATCAACTCAAGATGGATCAAAGACTTAAATCTAACACCTAAAACTATAAAAATTCTAGAAGGTAACATTGGAAATGCCCTTCTAGACATTTGCTTAGGCAAAGACTTCATGACCAAGAACCCAAAAGCAAAGGCAACAAAAACAAAGATAAATAGATGGGACTTAATTAAACTAAGAAGCTTCTACACAGCAAAAGAAATAATCAGCAGAGTAAAAAGACAACCTATAGAGTGGGAGAAAATCTTTACAAACTATGCATCCAACAAAGTACTAATATCCAAAATCTATAAGGAACTCATATCAGCAAGAAAAAAACAATTTATCCTATCAAAAAGTGTGCTAAGGACATGAATAGACACTTCCCAAAAGAAGATATAAATGGCCAAGAAACATGAAAAAATCCTCAATATCGCTAATTATCAGGGAAATGCAAACAAAACCAAAATGCGATACCATCTCACTCCTCCAAGAAGAGCCATAATCAAAAAATTAAAAAAAATTGATGTTGCCATGGGTGTGGTAAAAAGGGAACACTTTTACACTGCTGGGGGGAATGTAAACTAGTACAACCGCTATGGAAAAGAGTATGAAGATTTCTTAAATAATTAAAAGTAGATCTACCATTTGATCTAGCAATCCCACTACTGGGTATCTACCCAGAGGAAAAGAAGTCATTATATGAAAAAAACACTTGCACACACGTTTTTGGCAGCAAAATTTGCAATTGTGAAAGATATGGAACTAGCCCAAATGCCCATCAATCAATGAATGCATAGAGAAAATGTGGTGTATATATATATGTGTATATACACACATATATGTGTATATATGTATATATGTGTATATACACACATATATGTGTATATATGTGTATATACACACATATATGTGTATATATGTATATATGTGTATATACACATATATATGTGTATATATGTGTATATACACATATATATGTGTATATATGTGTATATATGTATATATGTGTATATACACATATATATGTGTATATATGTGTATATACACACATATATATGTGTGTATATACACATATATATGTGTGTATATGTGTGTATATACACATATATATGTGTGTATATGTGTGTATGTGTGTATATATATACACACACAGACCATGGACGGAATACTACTCAGCTATAAAAAGGAATGAAATAATGACATTCACAGCAGCCTGGAAGGAGTTGGACACCATTATTCTAAGTGAAGTAATTCAGGAATGAAAAAACCAAACATTGTATGTTCTGACTTATAAGTGGGAGTTATGCTATGAGGATGCAAAAGCATAAGAATGATACAATGGACTTTGGGGACTTAGGGGGAAGAGTAGGAGGAGGGTGAGGGATAAAAGACTACACCTTGGGTGCAGTGTACACTGCTCTGGTGATGGGTGCACCAAAATCTCAGAAATTACCACTAAAAATATTTTCCATGTAAACAAACACCACCTGTTCCTTAAAAACTAATGAAAAAAATAAAAAAGACATGAGATCAACCTAAATGCCCATCAATGGTGAACTAGATAAAGAAAATGTGGCACATATACACCATAGAATAATACACAGCCATAAGAAAGAACGAGATCATGTCCTTTGGAGCAACGTGGATGGAGTTGAGGCCAATATGCAAAGTGAATTAACACAGGAACAGGAAACCAAATATCCCATATTCTCACTTATAAGTGGGAGCTAAACACTGAGTACACATGGACAGAAAGAAGGGAACAATTGTCACTAGGTGAATTTGAGGGTGGAGGGTGGAAGGAGGGGGAGAATGGAAAAACTACGTATTGGGTATTATACTTACAACCTGGGTGACAAAATAATCCGCATACCAAACCCCTGTGACATGCAATTTATCCATATAACAAGCCTGCTCATGTACCCCTTGAGCCAAAATAAAAATTGGAGAAGAAAAAAACTCCTAAGAGTTGTCACTTTGGGTAGAGTTACGGGCATTATGATTTGAAGGCATAGTTTAAGGTCATTCCTCCTTTATTTATAAAGTTCTAATTTTTAAAATAAAAGTGCATTTGAGTATTTAATCATAAACATTAATTTAAAAATTCACTGGATTTTGTAGTAACTATGTAATGGATGATCTTTGCTATGAGTGTCATTGGAATGGATAAGCAGAGACAAAAGTTGATGAATTAAGAAATGAAAAGGAGTTAGGATCTAGAGACAGTAGTTATAGACTTATTTTGAGGAATTCAAACATAAGATAAATGGATGTAAATAAAGATGGATGGGGCATTGGATATATGGCAAGAGTTTTTGTTTGCTTGCTTTCTTTAAAATGGGAGAGTTTATATTTATACACCTATGTCTATATAAAATGTTTCTCAAATATATATATACACACATACATATATATGAAATGTGCAACTGTATTTACATATAGCTATGAGGAAGAGGCCATTAGATAGACTAAAGCATACAGATATGTTATAATACAGATGAAAAGGAATAAATTGATCACGTGAATTTTCTTTATGATAAACATTTAGGGGATATGAATGTTTGTTAAAAAAATTTCGTGCAATTTGGGACATTCTCTGCTTTTAATCAACTGCTTTCCAAGGATTTTAACACTGTGAAATGAATTTTAATAGAGATTTTCTATACAATATTCTGAATGTTTTAACAGTTTTAAACAAGCATCCTTAATTGAATATTTTCATAAGAAAAAATGAGAAAGAAATTACCCTAATAGAATTGCCCATTGCCAGGGAAATTTCATAATGAAGTGGGAAAAAACAGCAGCTGCACTTGCCTCCATAAGGCATGGACCTACAGCCAATCTGAAACAAACCACCTTCAAATGTCTCAAAGCCTGAAACACAAAACAGTCACATTTGATGCATTTACAGTGGCCAACAAGAAAATTATTTTAACAAATGTTGGACTATAAAGTCTTTTTTCATAAGAAGCTTTCACTAAACAAAATCTCATTTCAACAGATTGCCCCACTGGACTTTGAACTCTATTATATTTTATAAGTCATCATAGGTTGGATTATAAACAATTTCATCTTTTATAAAATATTATTGTATTTTAATATGAAAATATCAATTTTACTGTGATTAAATAGCTAATGCTACCTTCCTGAACTTTCCTAATACATAGTATAATAATAGTGTCCTAGTAGTGTTTTCCCATTAACTTTTTGATATGAACTCTTTGATTAACTTAATAAGTATAAATACAACACTAACATGCCAAAGAAAATAACTTAAAAACTGCATAATTCATTTTAAAAGGGAGAACTTTTCAATTTTCTCCTTGGTTCATACTTTCTGCTGGAGAATATAATCTCATTGGCTATAATTATTTATGCTCTTGAGCTATTTCTATTAAACCACATTTGCCACATTTATTTGAGTGGCTGTCATATTCATGAATAGTCATCTTCTTATAGATGGGATTTATGATCCCTAGAATGTAATATTTTAAGAAATGCTTTAAAAGATTAGATTTTACAATAATGCAAAGATAATCAGGAACATAATCCTGTAGAGAAAACGTCATAAAAAATTACTGAAATCCTTAATCTCCCTAAAAAAAGAAAAAGAATTGTATAAGGTTTTTCTTATAAAACGTTTGTTTGTTTTGTTTTGTTTTTTGAGACGGAGTCTCACTCTGTCCCCCAGGCTGGATTGCAGTGGCACTATCTCAGCTCACTGCAACCTCTGTCACTCAGGTTCAAGCGATTCTCTTGCCTCAGCCTCCCGAGTAGCTGGGATTACCAGGTAAATGCCACCATGCACGGCTAATTTTTGTAGATTACAGGCATGAGCCATCATGCCCGGCCTTTTTTTCTTTATCTTAGGTTTGTTTACAGACTCCACTTGGAACAGGTAAATACAATTTTTGCTTCTTTTTCTTTCTCACCATCCTCTAATATTTGAAATAACCTTACTCGATTTGTAATTGTAAATCTACCTGTGGATCGAGTCCAAGCCCAGCTCGTATTAGAATAATGTTAAGGGCAATGCTTCTTAAAATTGAAGACCATGCGTTAGGAACATGGACGTGTTCACTGATGAATGGAACATTCCTAATTGTAAATCCAGCCAGTAACATCCCTTAAAAGAAAGAAAATAAACATACATGACAGTTCATTTTTCTGAGAAAGAAAACAGAAATGTTTATTTTCTAATGCACTATGTCTCTCATTATTTTGGTAAAGGGCAGGTTACAAGCAAGTAGAGAAGGCAGCATGAATAAAGGAATGGCGATAAACAATACACCTAAATGGGGTTCAACAAGTAATTTAGTGTTGCTGGAACATACAGGGCAAGGAAAGGAGGGAGGAGAATGAGCTTGGTGGGCCAGATCATAGAAAGGTCTCCCCCCACTTTGGCAAAGTAAGGCACCATGGGAAGGTTTTAGGCAGGAAGTAATATAATGAGTCTTGCGATTTTTATATGAGGGTCTTGGTGAATTAGTTAGGGATAAAACTGGAGACAGAGACCAAATTGAAGGCTCCGTCACAGTCCACGCAAAAGTTGGAAACAAATAGCCTAAGCTAGAGCAAAAGAGAAAGTTTGGAGAGGAGGAAAATGATTCAATAAATACTTAGAAGGTGCTGTAAGAAAACTGTGGATACAGAAGGGACAGCAGGGATAAGATGTAGAGATTATCTCTACTGACAGTGTACTGAATATATATTTATTTTTGGGGACAGGGTCTCATTCTGTTGCCCAAGGTGAGTGCAGTGATGCAAACATGGCTCACTGTAGGCTTAACCTCCTGAGCTCAAGTGATCCTCTTGCCTTAGCCTCCTGAGTAGCTGAGACCCAGAAAAATTTTTAATATTTTGTAAAGACAAGGTCTGCTATGTTGCCCAGGCTGGTTTTGAACTCCTGGGATCAGGTGATCCTCCTGCCTTGGCCTCCCAAACTGCTGGGATTATGGGCATGAGCCACCATGCCTGGCCCACTGTACTGAATATTTAGATATATTTGAATACAGTAAGTTCTCACTCAGCATCGTCGATAGGTGATTGGAAATGGCAACTTTGAGTAAAATGGTATACAATAAAACCAATTTTAGCATAGGCTAAATGATATGAACAAGAGTCAATTTCCTACAGCATATTTCTGGTCACAAAACATCATCAAACTTCTAAATAAAGATCCAAAACACTTCTAGTATTAAACAATGAAATAAATTTGAGCTCTACATACATTTTACAAAGTTTTATAAAATAAATAAGATAATTCTTTACTTAATTTTTGATGAATCCACGAGTGACGGTGGTTATAGCAGTGATGGTTAAAATCAAAGAATAAATGTTTACAAAGTGAAAATTGTAAGGAGCACCTCCTCCCACTATACAGTTCAAAAACAAACACAAATATGGTAGGCTGGCTGAGAGTTTTCACATCACATTGTTTATTGTCTTGCATTTGTATGGTTATCATATACTTAACAAAATTTTATTTTGCAATAATTTATATTCATTCATTTATTCATTGTACAATCCACTAGTTCAGGGTCATTGTACAATCCACTAGAATACTAGTTCAGGGTCAAAGGTGACTGAAACTTAATCCAAAAAAATCAAGGAGGGACTCCCTCCCTAACACATTCTATGAATCTAGTATCACAATTATACCCAAATCAGGCAAAGCCACACACACACACACACACACACACACTACTGGTCAATATCCCTGATGAACATAGATGCAAAAATTCTCAACTAGCAAAATCAATTCAATAGTACATCAAAGAGATAATATAGTTAAGTGGGTTGTACTCCAGAAATACAAGGATGGTTCAACATGTGAATCATTCTTCCATAAAGACATATACACACATATGTTCATTGTGGCACTATTCACAATAAAAAGACATGGAATCAACTTAAATGACTAAATAAAGAAAATGTGTTACATATACACCATGGAATACTATGCAGTCATAAAAAAGAATGGCATCATGTCCTTTGTAGCAACATGGATAGAGCTGAACACCATTATCCTAAGTGAAATAACTCAGAAACAGAAAACTCAAATACCACATGTTCTCACTTATATGTGGTAGCTAAACAATGGGTACATATGGACATAAAGATGGAAATAATAGACACTGGGGAGTCCAAAAGGAGAGAGGGTTGGAGAGTTAAGGTTGAAAAATTTCCTATTGGGTATAGTATTCACTGTTTGATGATGGGTTCACTAGAGCCCAAATCTCACCATTATGCAATATATCCATGTACCAAACCTGCACATGTACTCCGTGAATCTAAAATTTTTAAAGATTCTATTAAACAATAAAGCAACAGGAATAATGTACTAAGGATATTAAATTTATTTTAAAAATAAATTTTGGATAAAACTTGTGTGTGTATATATGTAGACAGAGAGAGAAATAAATGCCCCTATAAAAGAGCTATACACACACACACACACACATACAGCAAATACACACATGAAGAAACTATATAAAACATACTACATTGAAATATTTCTGAATTATAACTAATTCAACAAGAAAATGTTCAAAATTTGCATATAGTCAATAATAAAGAAAAGAGAGCTAATTATATACTTACCAAGAAGAGGTGGAAATGGAGGCACTAAAGGTATTCTAATGAGTTGTAAAATTTTTCCCCCAATAATGGCACTATAAAAAATAATTAACAATCCAAATAAATTTCCACTAGGGAGAGCTTCAGAGCCTAAGATTGACCAGGTCATACACCATATCACAAACAGTGTAACTCCTAAAATACAAAAAAGTGTACAGCTATATATCTACATACACATAGATGTATACAAACAAATGATCAATTCTCTTTTATCATATATACTAATAGCCAGTTCTATAAAATGATACATGGTATAGATCAACATTGCTTACTAGTTTGGTGAAAGAGATATCTGCTTAACATATATTCCAAATAACCTGTCAATTTATGAAGTAGGTTTTAAACAAAGTGTTTTCACTTTAAAAATATTTAAAAACTATATGTGGGCCAGGTGCAGTGGCTCACGCCTTAATCCCAGCACTTTGGGAGGCTGAGGTGGGCTGGATCACATGAGGTCAGGAGTTTGAGACCAGCCTGGCCAACACAGTGAAATCCCGTCTCTACTAAAAACGCAAAAATTAGCCAGGCGTGGTGGTGCGTGCCTGTAATCCCAGCTATATGGGAGGCTGAGTCAGGAGAATTGCTTGAACCCAGGAGGTGGAGGTTGCAGTGAGCCAAGATTGTGCCACTGCACTCCAGCCTGGGTGACAGAGTGAGACTCAGTCTCAATAAAAAAATAAAAAAAATTAAAAAAAAAACCTATATGTGAACTCTTGAAAATGCTAACTTATAATATATGATAGTTAAAAACATCATGGCAATATGATGAGATTTACTTCATTTTATATTTTAAAATAGCTTTTTCATCAGGATGGAAAATAAGAGGATGATTGGCTGTGATAAGAATTCACAACCTTATTGAAGATCACAGTGTCAAGGTGCCAAATCTTTTAACAGGAACCTGCTAAATCTTTTTATTGAAAGGATAATTCAACTGATATTTGGCATAAATGTATTATAGGAGGAAATGGCTGGAAGAAATGTACCTAGATTTTGTGGGAATAAATATAAAGTATCTTAGATTATGTGTAGGAGGTAGAGGTAGATTAAGATGAGTAGGTATAAGTTACTAGACATCTTGTTTCTGACAACTAGGTGCTACTCACTGAGGAATCCACAGGTTTCTGTAAAGGACAGACAATAACATGGTAAATTTCCATTTGCTAATTAAATGGCTACCTTTATTTGCTATGAATCATAATTGCTAATGCTTTTAATATTCTTTTTTTTTTTTTTTTTTTTTTTTTTTGAGACGGAGTCTCGCTCTGTCGCCCAGGCTGGAGTGCAGTGGCGCAATCTCGGCTCACTGCAAGCTCTGCCTCCCGGGTTCACGCCATTCTCCTGCCTCAGCCTCCCGAGTAGCTGGGACTACAGGCGCCCGCCACCGCGCCCGGCTAATTTTTTGTATTTTTAGTAGAGACTGGGTTTCACCATGTTAGCCAGGAGCTTTTAATATTCTTAAAACAGCTTACATGAACTTTTTAGCTATGAACCCTTTCTGGCTGTATAGAATTTGCCAGGGTAGAAGAGGAGGATTTTGACTCACTCCAGGCAGAAAGTTAGAACAAAGTTTTTTTCCTCCTCCCCTCTGATTATTGTCATCCTGCAAAACTGGAAGCCTTGGAGGGCTAAACTCTTACTAAAATAATGGACCAGGCTGGGCATGGTGGCTCGTGCCTGTAATCCCGGGACTTTGGGAGGCCGAGGCGGGTGGATCACCTGAGGTCAGGAATTCAAGATGAGCCTGACCAACACGGTGAAACGCCGTCTCTATTAAAAATACAGACAATTAGCCTGGCCTGTTGGTGCATGCCTGTAATCCCAGCTACTTGGGAGGCTGAGGTAGGAGAATTGCTTGAACCCAGGAGGCGGACATTGCAGTGAGCTGAGATGGCGCCACTTCACTCCAGCCTGGGTAACAAGAGCAAAACTCCATCTCAAGAAAACAAAACAAAACAAAAAACAAAAATAAAAAACACAGACCAGAAAATGTCATCCTACTGACAAATTGAGAAGACAAGGCAGTTTGTCTTAGCTGGTCTCTGGGTGGCAAAGTCTTTTTTGAGAATTCATATGTAAAACTGGCCTCATCCAACTTATGCGTAGGGCTCAAATTACATTACGTGCACAGGTTAGGGATCCCAAAGTTCTAAACCTACCATAAAAGTGTCCCTGCATTGAAGTATCCCTAGAAAACTTAGTAGATGCTAATTCAAAAAATCTCTAATAGACACACCTGATCCCAGACTGCATAAAGTCTCAAAGGTAAAGCCAAGTGAATCTGAACTTAAAATAAGAAGAAATATCCCATGAGCAAAAGTTAACAGATACAATAAAGAATGGGATTAGATGTCTAAAAACCTCAGCTAATAGAACCACTAGATAGACACTATAAAATATGTATTTTCAAAGGGACTAGAGAAAATTTTTAAAAATTGGAGACATGAGAAGAAGAAATTACTTGAAAGTATTGTAAAATAATTAAATAGAACATCTAGAAAAAACTTTAAAATTTACTCAACTGAAAAAAACCCACTAAGTACCCAAATAGCAATCTAGGCAAAGCTGAAGAGAGAACACAGCAAAGTAGTAGATATGAGGAAATTATTTAAGAGCATAGCACACACAAAAAAAAAACGAGGTGGAAAATGAGAGATTTAGATTATGGAAAAGATCTAAAACACAACTAATGGTAGTTTCAGAAACATCCATTGAAAGAATGAAGAAGATATAATATTTGAGAAGAAAACTGGCTTCAAATTTTACAGAATTGATTAGGGTTTTTATTGATTTGGACACAGGAAGTCAAATGAGTTCTAATCATGATTAAGTAAAAATAGATACTTAGATAAAATGTTGAGAAACTATAGACTACCAAAGGCAAAAATAAAATCTTAAATAATCTAGACAGAGAAAGAGAGATTAATCATAATTGAATAAACAATAGAGCAGATTCTCAATTCTTATCAGCAACAATAGAAGATGGAAGATAATTAAATAAAGTCTTCAAAGTACAGAGATAAATAAAACATTCAGTGTTGAATTCTGTAGCCAGTTAACTGTCACTCGAACAAAAGACAAATGAAAGATATTGTCAAACAAATACATTTAAGAACATATGCCATTTTTTACCAGGGAAAAATCTACTGAAAGATATGCTTTAGAAATATGACATAGAACCAGAAAAGACGGAACAATGTGCAAAGAAATTGGTAAAATGTAGGTTAGTCTAAACAAGTATTTGTTGTGTAACACATTACTAATGAAAATTGTTAATCAGAGGATATAAAGATAAGGTTGGGAGGTGACATGAAAAGGTTGGCAATTTATTTCCACACCAAAACTCCCCCCAAAAATTGCAGAAATACCAAAAACAATAATTTCAGGACCCTGAAAACTCATCAAAGGCAGTTATCAAATTTAAGAAGCATTTATTCTTGAAAAAAGTGTTAGGGTTTTGGGTAGGATTGGTAAAAGTCTGAGCCCTTCCTGACGGGGGTTTCTCCCTGATATAGTTTGGCTTTGTGTCCCCATCCAAATCTCATCTTGAATTGTACTCCCATAATTCCTATGTGTTGTGGGAGGGACCTCGTGGGAGATAATTGAATCATGGGGGTGGTTCCCCCCCATACTGTTCTCGTGGTAGTGAATAAGTCTCACAAGATCTGATGGCTTTATCAGGGGTTTCCGCTTTTGCATCTTCCTCATTTTCTCTTGCCACCACCATGTAAGAAGTGCCTTTCACCTCCTGCCATGATTCTGAGGTCTCCTCAGCCACCTGGAACTATAAGTCCAATTAAGCCTCTTTTTCTTCCCAGTCTTGGGTATGTCTTTATTAGCAGAATGAAAACAGACTAATACACTCCCATCTCTCTTCTCACCCCCAAGCTCAGTTGGGGAAAACTGTAGTTTTACCAGTTTGAAGCTGGATGTAAAACCCAGCAGCTTTCCTGTTAGGGCTGGGGGCACGGGTGGATTTGGTATGGAGCAGAGGGAAGAAATCAATGGTTTTGCCAGTTAAATATAGCAGAGTGGTTTGGGAATGAACAGAGAGAATTGCAGATTTGCTAGTCTGAGGTTGCAGTTTCAACTGGGGAAGTGGAAGACAAGACAAAAATTTAAGTGAGAGATCCTGAGGGTCAATAGGTGCAGCAAACCACCATGGCACATGTATACCTGTGTAACAAACCTGAATGTTCTGCACATGTATCCTGGAACTCAAAGTGAAAGAAAGAAAGAAAGAAAGAAAGAAAGAAAGAAAGAAAGAAAGAAAGAGAGAGAAAGAAAGAAAGAGAGAAAGAAACAAAGAAAGAGAGAGAGAAAGAAAGAAAGAGAGAGAGAAAGAAAGAAGAAAGAAAGAAAAAGGAAGAAAGAAAGAAAGAAAGAAAGAAAGAAAGAAAGAAAGAAAGAAAGAAAGAGAAAGAAAGAAAGAAAAGAAAGACCCACATGCTAGGCTAGAGTTTTCCAGTTCCAAGTTCCAATTCTCTCACTGAGAAGAGTGGCTCACTGTGCCTAAACTGTTTATACAAACAATGTGGTTTACTCTGAACAGCTGCTTTTCCTCTGAGAGTCTGGAATTCTGGTACATGTGAAGGAGAGTAACCTCCGTAAAATCCTGAGAACTGAGTCTCTAATGAGACTCTGGTCCTGGTAGATGACATTGCACATGTGCTGTCAAAATTTCATGCTGGGAAAGAGAAACACATCCTTGTAACTCCACAGGAGATGATTCCAAGAAGCTCATACCTGGTATCCTCCAGACTTTACCACATACAACTTTTTCCCTTTGCTAATTCTGCTTTGTATCCATTCACTATAATAAATTAAAAACCTGAGTATTACTAAAAAAAAAAAAAAAGAGAGAGAGAGAAATCCTGGAAAGGAGAGAATCATAAAAAGTCTGAGAAAAGTTCTCCACACATACTGCCGATTGGAAAAGTATGGAAGTGCAGGAAAGACTCAAGATAGTATGACAAAAAGTAAAAATGAAGTAAGACTTGAGTATTAATTGCAACTTTGAATGCATTCACCCACCCACCCACAGATTATTTGGCAGAGAGTGGAAGCCTTACTACTAGCTTTAATATAATGTCTCTCAAAAATCAAGCTATGCAACAGACACAAAGGAAATCCCTAGAAAGACAGGCTAAAACAACAATAACAACAACAACACAATATAAAAGACATCAATGCTGAAAACCACTGGGCAGAAGGATTACACAGCACAAGTATAGGCCAATTACCAAAACATAACAACAACAAAGACAATAACAAATAAAAACCAAATCCAGATTTGCTATAATGTGTAATTAAAGTGTTTAGTTTTCAATTAAAAATTATCAGACATGTAAGGAAACAGGAAAATATGGCTTATACTCTGGAAAAAAAGCAGTGAATAGAAACTGTCTCAATTCAGATATTGGATTTAGAAAGAAAGTTTTCAAAGTATATATTATAAATATGTTCAAATTAAAAATATGATAAAGTGCTGTCTAATAGAGAATACGAATAAGGAGACAGAATATGTTTAAAAATAGAATCTAGAATTGAAAAGTACAACAGTTAAAGTGAAAAAATCACTAGCGAGGTTCAATAGCATATTTGACCTTGTGAAAGAAAGTATCAGTGAACTTGAAGATAGGCCAATAGAGGTTAATCAATCTGAAGAACAAAAAGAAAAAAGAATGAAGGATAATAAACAGATCCTCAGAAACTTATGGGATACCATCAAGAGCACTACCATATGCATAATGGGAATTCCAGGAGAAGAGAGAGATAAGAGGACAGAAAAATATTTGAAAACATAATGTCTGAAAACTTCAAAAATGCTACAAAAAACATTAATCTTCAGATATAAGAAGGCCAACAAATCTCAAGTAGGATAAACACAAAGAGATTCACACCTAGAGCCATCCTTGTCAAATTGGTGAAAACCAAGGATAATAAGAAAATCATGAAAGTAGCAAGGGATGACTTATCACATACAGGGGAACAATAATATTATCAATACTGGCATTTTTATCTGAAAAAAATGGAGGCCTTATGAAGCGACATTTCAAAAGTGGAGGGAAAAATAACTGTCAATTAAAAATTCTGTATCCATTAAAATGATCCTTCAAAAATGGAGCTGAAATAAAGACATTTCCAGATAAATAAAAATAAAGAGAACTTATCCTTGCTAAAGAAACACTAAAGAAAATGCTTTTAAGATAAAAGGATATGACACCAGATGGCAACTTGAACCTATAAGGAATAAATGGCACGGGAAATGGTAAATAAATTTGTAAGTATAAAAGATTGTATGTGGGCCGGGCGCAGTGGCTCACGCCTGTAATCCCAGCACTTTGGGAGGCCGAGACGGGCGGATCACGAGGTCAGGAGATCGAGACCATCCTGGCTAACACGGTGAAACCCCGTCTCTACTAAAAATACAAAAATTAGCTGGGCATGGTGGCGCGTGCCTGTAGTCCCAGCTACATGGGAGGCTGAGGCAGGAGAATGGCGTGAACCCGGGAGGCAGAGCTTGCAGTGAGTCGAGATCGCGCCACTGCACTCCAGCCTGGGCGACAGAGCGAAACTCC
Source organism: Homo sapiens (assembly GCF_000001405.40). NCBI lineage: Eukaryota > Metazoa > Chordata > Mammalia > Primates > Hominidae > Homo > Homo sapiens. The sequence goes on from NT_187383.1 coordinate 135,831, forward strand.
GTCTTAAAAAAAAAAAAAAGATTGTATGTGTGTGTGTGTGTGTATTCTGATTTCATCTCTTTTTTTAAAAAAATCATCTGATTATTATAGGCAATAACTATAACAATACTGCTGAGTTCATAGCATATAAGAGATACATTGATCAAAGTTGCTATATAACACTGGAATTAAGTAAAAATTACTAAACCAAAGTAGATTGTAAAAAGTGAAGATGATTGATTATTATAATCCCCAAAGGTAGTTGGGAGGCTGAGATAGAAGTACTGCTTGAGGCTAGGAGTTTGAGACTAGCCCGAGCAACACAATGAAACTCTGTTGATATAGTTTGGATATGTGTCCCTGCCCAAATCTCATGTTGAATTGTAATCCCCAAAGTTGGAGATAGGTCCTGCTGGGAGGTGAATGGATCATGGGGGCAGATTTCTCATGAATCGTTAGTACTGGCTAATTTGGTATTTTTAGTAGAGACAGGGTTTCTCCATGTTGGTCAGGCTGGTCTTGAACTCCTGACCTCAGGTGATCCACCCGCCTCAACCTCCCAAAGTGCTGGGATTACAGGCAGGAGCCATCGTGACTGGTCTAAGTTTTACTTTCTAAAAATTATATTAAAATTTATATTTCTCTATTATCTAATCATAAATTATATCAAATATGCTGTTTTGAATTTTATTTTTCCCTTTAAACGTAAAGACACACATTCAGTTCATTGTGCTAGATAAATTACCAGTGTGATCACAAATTAAGAAATGCAATTCAAAGAATTTTGCATACAAGGAGTCCTGAAAGTGTTAATAATTTTTGATGCAAAGATAATTTTATGAAAGTAATAGAAGACTAAAAAAAGGTACAAAACAATTATTATGTAAGTATCTTCCTTTTTCTGAATCACCCATGATTACTTTTTCCACTAAGCAAAAACTGACTACATACTTCAGACCTGTCTCAAATCTCCCCAGCCTCTTTTCCTAAACCTCCCCAGCCTCTCAGGACAGACAGGATGCTCCTGTACTTTGTGCATTCTGCTATTTTTAGCAAGAGGCCTATTTTGTCGGTGTTGTCTGAATAGTATTTGCCGACTCTCAGACTTTCAGTCACTTATTTGTTTATTTATTTATTTATTTGTCTCCTTTTCTTGTATTTCCCTTTTCCTTTTCTTTCCTTTCTTTTTCCCTTTCCTCCTCCCTTCCTTTGCTTACTTATTTTTTCCCTTTAATTCCCATTCACTATTTCCATGACTGCCAAATAGTAGGTTGATCCTTTAAAATATTCCTTTTTTAAAATTTATTGTACTTTAAGTTCTGGGATACATGTGCAGAACGTGCAGGTTTGTTACATAGGTATACACGTGCCATGTGGTTTGCTGCACCTATCTACAATATATCTTAAAATGAATAAAAGTGGAAACACACAGGAGACAGGGTGTATGGGGTGAGTGGGTTGCCAAGTGGATGGTGGCAGGGTGCTCCAGGGTGGCCAGTGGGGCTAAGTGTTGTGTATTCCAAGCATGGCGGGGTTCCTGCCTTCCTGTGTGGCAGACTGTGGCATCAGGTAAGAGCCACTCAGTGCCCACCCTGGCTCCTCCATTGCCTTGCTCTCAGCCCCTGACATCCAGCCCACACCTGGAGATTGAGTTGTACCCACTGCTCTGGGTCTCAGCCCTGTGATCACCTCAGTAGATATTCTGAGCTTGGCTATGCAGGCAACACTGAGCCATAGTTTACTATTCTTTTATGCATTTCTATCAGAGAGTCAGCAAAGGTAGTTGACAAAGCCCAAGGGAGAATGTTGAGGGGAGTTGATGACCTTGACTTTTTCATACAGGATGAAGCCATTGATAAATATGTATGCTTCAAAGTGGTCAATATGACATGGAATCACTGAAGACTGGGATATTATGGAAAGGTTCATGGAGCAAGTGGTTTTTAAATATCTTTGAGCAGAATCTGAGGACCATTATTTTTTAATGACAGAACTTCCACTGAATACACTAGAAAATACAGAGCATTTTTGCAGAAATTATGTTTGAACTATTTAATGTACCAGGATTCTACATTGCAGTTCAGGATGTACTAGCCTTGGAAGTATCTTGGACATCTCAACAAGTGGGTGAATATATGTTAATGAGTACAGTCATTGACAAAGGAGATGGAGTCACCCTTGTTCTCCCAGTTGTAGAAGGTTATGTAATTGAGAGCTGCATCAATCACATCCTGATTGTAGGTGATACTGTGTATTTCATTCAACAACTGCTAAGGGAGAGGGAGGTAGGAATCCCTCTTGAGCAGTCACTGGAGACCACAAAAGCCATTAAGGAGAAATACTGTTACTTTTGCCCTGATATAGTCAAGGAATTTGCTAAGTATGATGTGGATCCCTGGAAGTGGATCAAACAGTACACAGGTATCAATGTGATCAACCAGGAGAAGTTCATAATAGACGTTGGTTACAAAAGGCTCCTGCAACCTGAAATATTTTTTTACCCAGAGTTTGCCAACCCAGACTTTATGGAATCCATCTTGAATATTGTTGATGAATACAAAACTGTCCCATTGATGTGCATTGTCCACTGTATAAGAATGTTGTTCTTTCAAGGGGTTTGGCCATATTCAGGGATATGAATCTCAACTACAGAGAGATTTGAAGAGTGGTACATGCCAGATTAAAACTCAGTAAGGAGCTCAGTGGCAGGATAATCAAACCTAAGCTTACAGAGGTCCGGGTGGTAATCCGTCACATGCAGCACTATGCCTTATGGTTTGGAAGCTTAATGCTAGCCTCAACTCTGGAGTTATTTCAGGTCTGTCACACCAAGAAGGACTATAAAGAATATGGCCCCAGCATCTGCCACCAGAGCCTTCTCTTTGGAGTAATGTCTTAGTGTCTGCCTTGAAAGCATCATTTAATAGTGTCATGTTGGGGAACGAGTGTCCTTCAGAACCCAGAGAAGACTACCATTTCTAAATGACATTTGGTGTTGATGTCTGAGCAGCATGCTTGCATCACCTAGTGCATGAGGCACAGGGCAGAGTCATTTCAGTAAAAACCATTTCTTTATGTGTTGACTGTTGTATGCCCACTCCTTCTTCTCTCACTCCCTTTCTTCATGCTTCCCCAGTTTCCCTCCTCCTTTTCACTTGAACTTTTTTGTTGACAAATACCATTCTGAAGGAATTCAAATGTGACTCTGAAAATTGTTAAGAGGAAAAAAAATTTCAAAAATGGCCCAAAATAGTTCTCCCCCAGGAAAGAATGCAGTGGTATAAATCCTTTTCCCCCAGCCTATTTTTATAAATAAAATGTTATAAACTTAAAATACAAAAAACCAAAAACATAGCAATATTTACAGGATGCAATTAAAGCAGAGTATAGAGGAAAATGTATAGCTTTAAAAACAGAAAGAAAAAATAATCTAAAATTGATAATCAAAACTTCCATCTTAAGACTCTAGAAAAAGATGAGTAAACCAAGCCGAAAGTAAGTAGGATGTATGAAATAAAAATGTCACAGTGGAAAACGAGAAATACAGAACAGGATAACGTTAAAAACAACCAAAGAAACCCAAAATTGCTTATTTCAGAAAGTCAAGAAGATAAATAATATTTAGTTAAATTGACCAAGAAAAAAGAAAGAAGACACTAATCCCAAAATCAAGAATCAAAGAGAAATATCACCACAGACCCTACCCTTAAAAGGATGTTAAGAAAATAGCATAATAACTTTAAGGCAAAAAATTTGACAACTTAGATAAAATAGAACAATTCCTTGAAAGACACAAATTACCAAAACTGACTCAAGGAAAAAGAAAAAAAAACAAATACCAATATCAAGTAAAGAAATTGCATCAGTAATTTCAAATCTTCCTATAGAGAAAAAATATACTTCACTGGTGAATTCTATCAAACTACTAAGGGAGGAAATAATACCAATGTTACAAAAACTTTATTCAGCAAATAGAGGATGAAGGAAACTTCCCAACTAACCTTATTTCATTTGATATCAATATTACCCTGATATCAAAACAAGACAAAGACATTACAAGCAAACACAGCTATATACCAATATCCCTTGTGAACCTAGACATAAAAATTCTTAACCAAATATTAGCAAATGTAATTGAGCAACATATGAAAAGGATTTTATACCATAATCAAATGAAGTTTATCTCAGGAATGTGAGGTTGACTTAACATCCGAAAATCAATGTAATAAACTATATTAACAGAATAAAGGACAAAACCATATGATCACCTCAATAGATGCAGAAAAGCATTTGACAGAATTCAACAATCATACATTAAAAAAAATCTCATCAACTTATGAATAGAAGGGAACTTCTTCAAATGATCAAGGCATCTACCAGAAGCTTATAGCCAACATATTTAATGGTAAGAATGTGCTTCCCTCTAGATTAGGAAACATGCAAAGATATCTGTGTTTACCACTTCTATTTAACAATGCACCACAGGTCTTAGTTTGTGCAATAGTCAAGGAAAAAAGGTATGGAAAAAAGACAACTCTTTTTATTGTTAGCCTTGTATGCAGAAAATCCTAAGGAACATACCCACACACACACCCACATACCACACCCCCTCCCAGACTTACTAGAACTAAGAGGGGGGCTTAGTAAGTTTGTAGAGTATATGATCAATATACAAAAATTGGTTATATATATAGTAGCAACAAACAATACAAAGATGAAATAAAGAAAACAATTCCAATCACAATAGCATCAAAAATAAATGTCTTAGTTTGTTTTATGTTGTTATAATAGAATACCTGAGACTGTACGAAGAGGTTTATTTAGCTCATGTTTCTCCAGACTGGGAAGTTCAAGAAGCATGGCACCAGTATCTGCTTAGCTTCTGGTGAGGGCTTTAGCAGTGCATCACAACATGGCAGAAGACCAAAGAGGAAGTGGGAAAGTGCCAAGAGGCCAAACACAAGGTACAACCTTGTACAATGGGTTGCTTTATAACAATCCATTCTCAGGGCAACTAATCTATTTCCACAGGAACCAATCCAGTTTCATGAGAGCAAGAACTCACTCACTATATGAGGACTGCACGAAGCTGCTTAAAATGGCAGAGCCCGCATGACCCAAGCATCTCCCATTAGGCCCTACCTCTTAAAGGTTCCAACATGATTTTTGACAGAAACACGGAAACCATGGCATTTCACCCTTGGAACTACAAACTCATGTCCCTCTTACACTACAAAATGTAATTATTCAATCTCAATGGTCCCCAAAGTGTTAATTTATTCCAGTAACAATTTAAAGGTCAAAGCCCAAAGTCTCATATAAGACTCAAAGCAAATTCCTTCTAGCTATGAGCCTGTAAAATAAAAATAAAAATAAAAAAACACAAGTTATTTACTTCCAAGATACAATGGTGGAATAGTCATATGGCAGACAGTCCCATTCCAAAAGGGAGAAATAAGCCAAAAGAAGAAAGAGGTGACAGACCTCGAGCAAGTGCAAAACTCAGCAGGGCATACACTAAATCTTAAAGCTCCAGAATAATTCTCCACTCTATGTGCTACCTCCTGGGCACAGTGGGGAGTTTTTATCCCTAAAGCCTTGGGCAGCCCCACCTCCATTGCTTTGTTGGGCATAGCCACATGGCTACTCTCACTGGTTGGAGTTGGATACCTGTGGCCTTTCCAGGCTGAGGTTGCATGGTGGCAATGGCTCTATAGTTCTGGAGTCCCAGTGGTGGTCCACTTCGTGGATTCACTGGGCATTGCCCTGGTACAGACTCTTTGTGGCAGCTCCAACCCTACATTTCTCCTCAGCTTTGCCCTAGGGGAGGTACACTGCAGTGGCTCTGGCCCTGCAACAAGTCTCCACCTGAGCTCCCAGTCTTTTCAGTACATTCCTTAAAATCTAGGTGGCAGCCACCATGCCTCCACTTCTCTTGTATTCTGCACATCTGCAAAAATAGTACCACAAGGTTGTAAAAGCCATCAAGGCTTACCGCTTGCACCCTCCAGAGTGCTGTCATGAGCTGTATCTGAGGCTGCTTGATCCATGACTGTGTGTCACCAAGGTTTATGGTTTGTATCTTGTGGAATGGCAGCCTGAGCCACACCTGAGTATGATTGTGCCATGGGTTGGGTGGCTGCTGAGGGCTGTGCCAGAATTTGGGGAGCAGGATCTCAAAACAGCACAGGGCAGTGATGCATGGGTTCTGTCTCTTAAAACCATTCTGTCCTCCTAGACCTCTGGAAAGGCAACCTCAAAAATTTCTGAAATGTCTTCAGGGCCTTTAAAAAAATTGTCTCAATAATTGTCAACTGGTTTTCTTCTCTCAGTGCTAATCTCTTTAGTATTGGTTGTTCTGCTGCACCCTTGGATTCTTCACCTGAAAATGCTCTTTCATTCTCTTCCACATGGCCAGGCTATTAATTTTCAAATTTTTGTGTTTGCTTCCATTGTCATTTTGCATTTCACTGAATGTAGTAAGGAGTAACTACATAGCTGCTCTATATTTTGCTTAGAAATTTCTTCTGCCAGGTACCCTAGTTCATCACTCTTAAGTTTGGCCTTCCACAAAACCTTAGGGCACAAAGCCTTAGAAACAACACAGCCAAATTTTTGCTATGGTCTAACAAGGATGACTTGGTCTCCAGTTCCTAATACCTTGTTCCTCATTTCTATCTGAGATCTCATTAGAATGGCCTTTGCTGTCCATATTTTTATCAGCATTGTGGTAATGACTACTTAACCAATCTCTGAGAAATTCTAAACTTTCTCTCATCTTTTTGTTGTCTTTTGAGCCCTCACTGAAATTATCCTTAATGCTCTGTTTATGGCAATACAGTCTTCTTCTAGTCTGCTCCTTCAAACTTTTCCAACTTCTGCGCATTACCCAGTTCCAATGATGCTTCTGCATTTTTGAAAATCTAAATAGCAACATCCCACTTTCAGTACCAATTTTCTGTCTTAGTCCGTTTTGTGTTGCTATAACAGAATACCGGAGACTGAGTAATTTATAAAGAGGTATATTTGGCTTGCAGTTCTGCAGGCTGGAAAGAATGACACTGGCATCTGCTTGGGTTCTGGTGAAAGCTTTAGTGTTGTGTCACAACATGTTAGAATAAGGTCAAAGGGGAGTAGGCAAGTACCAGGAGGCCAAGCATGAAGCGTGACCTCACCGTATAGCAATTCATTCTCATGGTAACTAATCCATTCCTGAGAGAACTAATCTCACAAGAGTGAGAACTCACTCACCAGTGTAAGAATAGTACCAAGCTTCCCACAAAGGAAGAGCTCCCAAGACCCAAACACTTCCCAATAGGCCCTACCTCTTAAGCGTTCCAACATGCGTTTTGGTAGAGACACTCAAACTATAGCAATAATAATTAGGAATAAATTTAACAAAATAAGTGTGAAACCTTTGCACTGAAAACTAAAAAACATCACTCAGATAAATGCCTAAATAAATGGAGAGATATATCATGTTAATGGATTAGATGACTCAATATTGTTAGATGTCAATTGATCTACAAATTAACTGAAATTCCTGCCAAAAGTCTAGAAAGATTGGAAAAATTGACACGCTGATTTTAAAATTATATAGAAATACAAAAATACCTAGAATAGCCAAAACAATCTTGCTAAGTAAGAATGAAGTTAGAGTACTTAATACTGCCTTATTTTAAAAATCAGTGTAAAGCAACAGTAGTTAAGACAGTGTAGAATCCACATTAAGAGAGATAGATAGATCAATGGAACTAAGTGGAGTTCAGAATCCAACCCACATAGTCAATTAATTTTCATCAAAGATGCTAAGACAATTCAATAGGAGAAAGATGTTCTTTCAACAAATGATTCTATAAGAACTGGTTATTCATTTACAAAAACTAAACCTAGATCCTTAGGTCATATACGAAAATTAACTAAAATGGATCATAGACCTAATTGTATGAGCTAAAACTGTAAAACTTCTAGGAAAAAAAAATAGGAGAAAATATTTATGACCTCAGACTAAGAAAAGGTTTCTTAGATATAATATCAAAAACATGTTCCATAAAAGAAAAACAGATAAATTGGACTTCACCAAAATGATGAAATCTTTGCTTTTCAAATATTTCTTAAATAAATGAAAAGAGAGGATCGTTCCAAGATGGCCGAATAGGAACAGCTCCTGTCTGCAGCTCTCAGGATAATTGACATAGAAGACAGGTGATTTCTGTATTTCCAACTGAGGTATCTGGTTCATCTCACTGAGACGGGTCGGACAGTGGGTGCAGCCCACAGAGGGTGAGCCAAAGCAGGGCAGGGCGTTGCCTCATCTGGGAAGCAGCACAAGTGGTCGGGGATTTCCCTTCCTAGCCAAGGGAAGCCGTGACAGACGGTACCTGGAAAATCTGGACACTCCCACCCTAATACTGTGCTTTTCCAGTGGTCTTAGCAAACGGCACACAGGAGATTATATCCCATGTATGGCTTGGTGGGTCCCATGCCCACACAGCCTTGCTTACTGCTAGTGCAGCAGTCCGAGATCGAACTGCAAAGTGGCAGCCTGGGCTGGGGGAGGGACGTCCACCATTGCTGAGGCTTGAGTAGGTAAACAAAGCAGCTGGGAAGCCTGAACTAGGTGGAGCTCACTGCAGCTCAATGAGGCCTGGCAGCCTCTGTAGACTCCACCTCTGGGGGCAGGGTATAGCTGAGTAAAAGGCAGCAGAAACTTCTGCAGACTTAAACATCCCTGTCTGACAGCTCTGAAGAGAACAGTGGTTCTCCAGCATGGAGTTTGAACTCTGAGAATGGACAGAGCTGCCAGTAGGGACTTACTGACACCTCATACAGCCAGGTGTCCCTCTGAGATGAAGCTTCCAGAAGAAGGATCAGGCAGCAATATTTGCTGTTCTGCAGCCTCCACTGGTGACACTCAGGAAAACAGGGTCTGGAGTGGACCTCCAGCAAACTCCAACAGACCTGCAGCTGAGGGTCCTTATTGTTAGAAGGAAAACTAGCAAACAGAAAGGAACAACATCAACAAAAAGGACATCCACACCAAAACCACATCTGTAGGTCACCATCATTAAAGACCAAAGGTAGATCTAACCACAAAGATGGGGGGAAACCAGAGCAGACGAGCTGAAAATTCAAAAAAACAGAGCGCCGCTTCTCCTCCAAAGGATTGCAGCTCCTTGCCAGCAATGGAACAAAGCTGGATGGAGAATGACTTTGATGAGTTGACAGAAGTATGCTTTAGAAGGTCAGTAATAACAAACTTCTCTGAGCTAAAGGAGGATGTTCGAACCCATTGCAAGGAAGCTAAAAACCTTGAACAAAGATTAGATGAATGGCTAACTAGAATAAACAGCATAGAGAAGACCTTAAATGACCTGATGGAGCTGAAAACCATGGCACAAGAACTAAATGATGCATGCAAAAGCTTCTGTAGCTGATTCAATCAAGTGGAAGAAAGGGTATCAGTGATGGAAGATCAAATAAATGAAATGAAGTGAGAAGCGAAGTTTAGAGAAAAAGAGTAAAAAGAAATGAACAAAGCCTCCAAGAAATATGGGACTATGTGAAAAGACCAAATCTAAGTTTGATTGGTGTACTTGAAAGTGATGGGGAGAATGTTTTAGACATGAAATCCTTGCCCATGACTATAACCTGAATGGTATTGCCTAGGTTTTCTTCTAGGGTTTTTATGGTTTTAGGTCTAACATGTAAGTCTTTAATCCATCTTGAATTAATTTTTGTATAAGGTGTAAGGAAGGGATCCAGATTCAGCTTTCTACATATGGCTAGCCAGTTTTCCCAGCACCATTTATTAAATAGGGAATCATTTCCCCATTGCTTGTTTTTGTCAGGTTTGTCAAAGATCAGATAGTTGTAAATATGCGGCATTATTTCTGAGGGCTCTGTTCTGTTCCATTGATCTATATCTCTGTTTTGGTACCAGTACCATGCTGTTTTGGTTACTGTAGCCTTGTAGTATACTTTGAAGTCAGGTAGTGTGATGCCTCCAGCTTTGTTCTTTTGGCTTAGGATTGACTTGGCGATGTGGGCTCTTTTTTGGTTCCATATGAACTTTAAAGTAGTTTTTTTCCAATATTGATTCTTCCAACCCATGAGCATGGAATGTTCTTCCATTTGTTTGTATCTTCTTTTATTTCATTGAGCAGTGGTTTGTAGTTCTCCTTGAAGAGGTCCTTCATGTCCCTTGTAAGTTGGATTCCTAGGTATTGTATTCTCTTTGAAGCAATTGTGAATGGGGGTTCACCCATGATTTGCCTCTCTGTTGGTCTGTTATTGGTGTACAAGAATGCTTGTGATTTTTGTACATTGATTTTGTATCCTGAGACTTTGCTGAAGTTGCTTATCAGTTTAAGAAGATTTTGGGCTGAGACACTGGGGTTTTCTAGATATACAATCATGTCATCTGCAAACAGGGACAATTTGACTTCCTCTTTTCCTAATCGAATACCCTTTATTTCCTTCTCCTGCCTAATTGCCCTGGCCAGAACTTTCAACACTATGTTGAATAGGAATGGTGAGAGAGGGCATCCTTGTCTTGTGCCAGTTTTCAAAGGGAATGCTTCCAGTTTTTGCCCATTCAGTATGATATTGGCTGTGGGTTTGTAATAGATAGCTCTTATTATTTTGAGATATGTCCCATCAATACCTAATTTATTGAGAGTTTTTAGCATGAAGTGTTGCTGAATTTTGTCAAAGGCCTTTTCTGCATCTATTGAGATAGTTATGTGGTTTTTGTCTTTGGTTCTGTTTATATGCTGGATTACATTTATTGATTTGCATATGTTGAACAAGGCTTACATCCTAGGAATGAAGCCTACTTGATCATGGTGGATAAGCTTTTTGCTATGCTGCTGGATTCTGTTTGCCAGTATTTTATTGAGGATTTTTGCATCAATGTTCATCAAGGATATTGGTCTAAAATTCTCTTTTTTGGTTGTGTCTCTACCAGGCTTTGGTATCAGGATGATGCTGGCCTCATAAGATGAGTTAGGGAGGATTCCCTCTTTTTCTATTCATTGGAATAGTTTCAGAAGGAATGGTACCAGTTCCTCCTTGTACCTCTGGTAGAATTCGGCTGTGAATCCATCTGGTCCTGGACTGTTTTTGGTTGATAAGCTATTGATTATTGCCACAATTTCAGAGCCTGATATTGGTCTATTCAGAGATTCAACTTCTTCCTGGTTTAGTCTTGGGAGGGTGTACGTGTCGAGGAATTTATCCATTTCTTCTAGATTTTCTAGTTTATTTGTGTACAGGTGTTTGTAGTATTCTCTGATGGTAGATTGTATTTCTGTGGCATCAGTGGTGATATACCCTTTATCATTTTTTATTGTGTCTATTTGATTCTTCTCTCTTTTCTTCTTTATTAGTCTTGCCAGCAGTTTATCAATTTTGTTGATCTTTTCAAAAAACCAGCTCCTGGATTCATTAATTTTTTGAAGGGTTTTTTGTGTCTCTATTTCCTTCAGTTCTGCTCTGATCTTAGTTATTTCTTGCCTTCTGCTAGCTTTTGAATGTGTTTGCTATTGGTTTTCTAGTTCTTTTAATTGTGATGTTAGGGTCAGAAAACACCACAAAGATACTCCTCAAGAAGAGCAACACCAAGACACATAATTGTCAGACTCACCAAGGTTGAAATGAAAGGAAAAACGTTAAGAGCAACCAGAGAGAAAGGTCGGGTTAGCCACAAAGGGAAGCACATCAGACTAACAGCAGGTCTCTTGGCAGAAACCCTACAAACCAGAAGAGAGTGGGGGCCAATATTCAACATTCTTAAAGAAAAGAATTTTCAACTCAGAATTTCATATCCAGCCAAACTAAGCTTCATAAGCGAAGGAGAAATAAACTCCTTTATAGACAAGCAAATGATGAGAGATTTTGTCACCACCAGGCCTGCCTTACAAGAGCTCCTGAAGGAAGCACTAAACATGGAAAGGAATAACCAGTACCAGCCACACAAAAACATGCCAAATTGTAAAGACCATCAATCCTAGGAAGAAACTGCATCAACTAATGAGCAAAATAACCAGCTAACATCATAATGACAGGATCAAATTCACACATAACAATATTAACCTTAAATGTAAATGGGCTAAATGCCCCAATTAAAAGACAAAGACTGGCAAACTGGATAGAGTCAAGACACATCAGTGTGCTGTATTCAGGAGACCCATCTAACGTGCAGAGACACACATAGGCTCAAAATAAAGGGATGGAAGAAGATCTACGAAGCAAATGGAAAGAAAAAAATAGCAGGGATTGCAATCCTAGTCTCTGATAAAACAGGCTTTAAACCAACAAAGATTAAAGAGACAAAGAAAGCCTTTATATAATGGTAAAGGGATCAATGCAACAAGAAGATCTAACTATCCTAACTATACATGCACCCAATACAGGAGCACCCATATTCTTAAAGCAAGTCCTTAGAGACCTACAAAGAGACTTAGACATCCACACAGTAATAATGAGAGACTTTAACACCCCAATGTCAATATTAGACAGATCAATGAGACAGAATGTTAACAAGGATTTCCAGGACTTGAACTCAGCTCTGCAACAAGCAGACCTAATAGACATCTACAGAACCCTCCACCCCAAATCAACAGAATGTACATTCTTCTCAGCATCACATCTCACTTATTCCAAAATTGACCACATAGTTAGAAGTAAAACACTGCTCAGCAAATGTAAAAGAACAGAAATCACAACAAACTGTCTCCCAGACCACAGTGCCATCAAATTAGAACTCAGGATTAAGAAACTCACTCAAAACCACACAAATACATGGAAACTGAACAACCTGCTCCTGAATGACTATTGGGTAAATAACGAAATGAAGGCAGAAATAAAGATGTTCTTTGAAACCAACGAGAACAAAGACCCAACATATCAGAATCTCTGGGACACATTTAAAGCAGTGTGTAGACGGAAATTTGTAGCACTAAATAACCACAAGAGAAAACAAGAAAGATCTAAAATTGACACCCTAACATCACAATTAAAAGAACTAGAGAAGCAAGAGCACACAAATTCGAAATCTAGCAGAAGGCAAGAAATAACTAAGATCAGAGCAGAACTGAAGGAGATAGAGACACAAAAAACCCTTCAAAAAATCAATGAACCCAGGAGCTGGTTTTTTGAAGAGATCAACAAAATTGATAGACCACTAGCAAGACTAATAAAGAAGAAAAGAGAGAAAAATCAAATGGATGCAATAAAAAATGATAAAGGGGATTTCACCACTGATCACATGGAAATACAAACTACCATCAGAGAATACTACAAACCCCTCTACACAAATAAACTAGAAAATCTAGAAGAAATGGATAAATTCCTGGACAAATACACCATCCCAAGACTAAACCAGGAAGAAGTCGAATCCCTGAATAGAACAATAACAGGCTCTGAAATTGAGGCAATAATTAATTAGCCTCCCAACCAAAAAAAGTCCAGGACTAGATGGATTCACAGCCGAATTCTACCAGAGATACAAAGAGGAGCTGGTACCATTCCTTCTGAAACTATTCCAATGAATAGAAAAAGAGGGAATCCTCCCTAACACATTTTATGAGGCCAGCATCATCCTGATACCAAAGCCTGGCAGAGACACAACAAAAAAAAGAGAATTTTAGACCAATATCCCTGATGACCAATATCAATATCAATGCAAAAATCCTCAATAAAATACTGGCAAACCGAATCCAGCAGCACATCAAAAAGCTTATCCACCACTATCAAGTCAGCTTCATCCCTGGGATGCAAGCCTGGTTCAATATACGCAAATCAATTAACGTAATCCATCACACTTCAGCCTTCGAGTAGCTATCAGGTGCGCCACCATGCCCAGCTAATTTTTGTGTTTTTAGTAGAGATGGGGTTTCACCATGTTGCCTAGGTTAGTCTTGAACTCCTGGGCTCAGGTGATCTGCTCGCCTTGGCCTCCCAAAATGCTAGGATTACAGGCATGAGCCACTGTGCCCAGCCAATCTATGTAACTTTTCATGGAAGGCAAATCTATAAAGAAAGCAGATCATTTGTTACTTGGGACTTGGGTAGGTGGGAGTGAGGATTTAATGCAAATAAGCAGAGGAAACTTTTTGAGATTATGTAAGTATTCAAAAACTGAATTTTTGTAATTGTTGTACAACTCTATAAATTTGCCAAAACTCATCGAAATGTGCATTTAGAATAAATAAATTTTGTGCGCTGTGTATTATACCTCAAAAAAGCTGATAAAATATAAATTGGAACAAAAGTACTGGAAAACAGTAAGTTGGGGATGAATGAGGGTGATCAAAATTAATGCATCCTTCAAGATGAAACTAGTGATTTTAATTTTACAATTAGTTTTTTAAATTACTTGTTAATTCAAGTACACATATTACATTTCAAGGGTAATTGTGAATAGAATAGAACTAGAACATACAACTTTTAAACAAATAGAGGGGAAAAACCTTGATCAATCTAATAGAATGCATTGGGGAAAAGAATTGGAGAAATAATATGGTTAACAGAAAGCACAATATATGATGACAGAAGTAAATATAAATTTATCCATAACCACAATAAACTTAAATCATCTAAATTAGTTAAAGACAGACACTTGAAGACTGGATAAAAATGTGAAAATCCAGGTATAACCCGTAATAGTTAAAAACATGAAGACACAAAATTCTGAAGGTATGAGATGAGTAAATGATAAATAAAACAAATATTAACCAATATATGGCTGATATAGCTATTTTCATATCAAAAACTATAATTTAAGACAAAAAAACATTCTGAGGAATAAAAGTCATTATGTAAAGACATGTATGCATGTAACAATTCAACCGTAAAATATATGAAGCACAAATTGGCAGAATTACAAAGAAAAATGGCTAAATCCTCAACTTTGAAGAAACTTAAACCTCTGAGTCAATGATAATCAAAATGTAGTAAGATTATCTCAGATTTTTACCACTGTATTTAAAAAGCTTAATTTAAAGGAAATATATAGACTGCTGTATGCTCAAATTAGAGAATATATATATACTTTGAAGCCTGATAAAGTCTTAGGAGAACTGAACCTATGCTAGCCTATGAATCAAATCACAACAAATAAACAAACATTATAACATGTGGCCTATACTCTGTAACCAAAATGCAATTTATTAGAGAAAAAAATGTAAATTTCTTTCATCTTCAAACTAAAGGCATACCTTAAATAATTTTTCAGTCAAAGAAGACATGAAAATGAAAATCAGAAGATATTTGGATGTGAAATACTACATAACAAAACTTCTGAGATAGAGCTGAGGCAGTACTGAAAGGGTAATTTATATGTTTACATGTTTATATTGAAAAATAGGCTGAAAATTAGTTAAGTGTCCACCTTAGGAAGTTTAGAAAGAGAAAAAGAGATTGGGCATGGTGGCTCAGGCCTGTAATCCCAGCACTTTGGGAGGTAAAGGAGGGCGGATTACCTGAGGTCGGGAGTTCAAGACCAGCTTGGCCAACATGGTGAAACCCCTGTCTCTACTGAAAATACAAAAATTAGCTGGGTGTGGTGGTGGGTGCCTATAATCCCAGCTACTCGGGAGGCTGAGGCAGAAGAATTGCTTGAGCCAGGGAGGCAGAGGTTGCAGTGAGCCGAGATTGGGCCACTGCATTGCAGCCTGGGCAACAGAGCAAGACTCTGTCTAAAAAAAAAAAAAAAAAAAAAAAAAAAAAAAATTGGAGTAAACCTAAATAAAATAAATTAAAGGAAATAAGGCTAAAAGTAGAAATAGACATTAATAAACTATAAAACAAAGAAACAATAGGCAAGATTCACAAAACCAAATGCTGATTCTTTGAAAAGAATAATAAAATAGGCACTCTTCTGGTAACATTGATTAATTAAAAAGAGAAGGTATAAATAAGCAATATTAGGAATAAAAAATGAAGTGTAAGATAAAATATGAGTGAAAAAATAATAAAGTGAATACTATAAATGACTATATGACAACAGTCTAAAAACATAAGTGAAATGAACAACTTCGTTGGCTACTATAACTTATAAACACTTAGTCAAGAAGAAATGGGACACATGAATATTCATGTATCTATTTTTAAAAATTCAATCAGTAAATACTTTCTCATAGAAAACACCCACTAGTATGAGATACTTTAATATGAAAGTTCTACCAAACATTCAAAGAACATATAAATAAGCACTATCATATCAAAATAATTTCAGAGTATGGAAAAAGAGGGAACACCTTCAATTCATTTTGTGAGGCTAACATAAATGCAATATAAATATTTAAGATCATTATAATCCAAGAAAATTGGAGGCCAAACTAAGCTTAGATACAAACATCTAAAATAAAATAATAGTAAATCTAGTAATGTATTCTAAAATAATTCTGGACCAGTTGGGTATCTCAGGAATAGAAGCAAACGTTTAACAGTTTGCCCAAGCAGCTTTTATTTTATTTTATTATTTTTAAGGAGACAAGGTCTTGCCCTGTTGCCTGGGTTGGAATAGTGGCACGATCATATATCTCACAGCATCCTTGACCTCCTGGGTTCTAGGGAACCTCTGCCTTAGCCTCCTGAGTAGCTGGGACTACAGGCACACACCACAATGCCTAGCTAATTTTAAAATGTTTTTATTTTGTAGAGATGAAATCTCACTATGTTGCCCAAGCTAGCCTCACACTCTTGGCTTCAAATGATTCTTCCACCTTGGTGCCCCGAAGTGTTGGGATTACAGGCATCAGTCATGGCACCTGGCCTGAGCAGGTTTTAATAAGTCACCCCATGTTTGGAGAATTTCTAACATTATTAATACTACTTTCCCAATGCAGAAGCCAGGAACACAAGTTTTTAAACTTCCTTTGTCATGAAGGCATAGACACATGATGAACACACTGCTACTGACATTAATTTCTGCTTTTATCTGCATAGCTGGTACCTCCAGGAAAAGGAGAGGAATGAGGTTGGAAAATAGTACATAGGAAGCTTCAACTATATCTATAATGATTTTATATATATATATATATTTATATTTTGAGGCTGGAGTGCAGTGGCACAATCTTGGCTCACTGCGACCTCTGCCTCCTGGGTTCAAGCGATTCTCCTGCCTAAGCCTCTTGAGTAGCTGGGACTACAGGTGCATGTCATGATGTCTGGTTAATTTTGTATTTTTTAGTAGAGATGGGGTTTCACCATGTTGGCCAGGCTGGTTTAAACACCCAACCTCAGGTGATCTGCCCGCCTCAGCCCCCAAAGTGCTGGGATTACAGGCGTGAACTACTGTGCCTGGCCAGATAATGTTTGAATTAGAATGTTGCATGCATAAATATGATATCTTGGATATTGAAGAGACCACATAGACAAACTATATAAAAGGAAAAGAGGAAAAGGCTCAGGTCTAAGTCCTGAGTGATATTTCATATTTAGAAGTTAGGAAAAGAAGAATGGAATATGGAAGACAAGAAAGGAAGAAGCAGTGAGGGAAGAAGAAAACCAGTAAGTAGTGCCTCAGAATTAGAAAAAAAAAGACAAGTGTTTCAATAAGAGAGTGATCATTGGCGTCAAAAGCTGCAAAGATCTTGAATACGATGCAGACAGAAACGTTCACTGGATTTGGTTAATACACTTAGTCAGATAACAAAAAACCAGCAATTTCACCAGTTACGCTCCTTTTCATACTCCAGAGATGAAGGATAATATTCACTAGCCTATATAATATTCTAGGTCTTGAATGTTAAATAACATAACATAGGTGATTGTGTTAAATGTCAGAATATTTAAGGAATAATTATGTTGTAATATACAGGCCAGCGTGCATTTGTTGCTTGCTGGAGTAGTCAAGTTTTATTTCTGACAAGTCTGCAGTTCCAGGGAGCCTCTCCCTGGCTGAGTAACTCTCACCCATCCATCTGTCAGGGAGAGTTTGCTGTGCATCCCAAGTATCTTAGAATTGGGTAGAAGTTTAGCTTTAATTAGTTTGACCTTGAGTCTAGCAACAGGAGAGGGAACAGGCGGTGAAGAGGTCGTGAATGATGTCCCAGCAGCAGGAGACAGGGAGTGTCATTATCATTCCTGGCCTTCTCACAGTACTCTGAATACAGAGAATGAGGAAGATTAGGGGGCCCTGTCTGCTGACTCCCTGATGATCTCAGACCCTCTCTGCTCTTTCTGGATGGTGACCTGTTAATTCTGGCATACTATTACTGATAATATATTTATACTTTTCACTGTGATTTGCCCAATTGTTGCTTTAGCTCTGGACCTTGTCAAGAAGTTGTTGGTAGTGGATCCAAAGGCACGTTTTATGACAGAAGAAGCCTTAAGACACCGTGGCTTCAGGAGGGTGTGGGACAGTGCCTGCTAGCATAAAATACATGGGAAGCCCTGCTGCCTGAGAGACATGAGACAGAGGACAGAAACATGTTTAGTCTGTTTAATCTAATTGTTTTAGATGTATGGGGGGTATCTTGGAGGATGGGTTACAACCTGTCTTTTTTTTTTCTTTTTTCAGACAGGTTCTCATTCTGTCACCCTGGCTGGAGTGCAGTGGCATGATCTCAGCTCACTGCAACCTCTGCCCCCTGGGTTCAAGTGATTCTCCTGCCTCAGCCTCCCAAGCAGCTGGGATTAAAGGTGCATGCTACCAAGCCCAACTACTTTTTGTATTTTTTGTAGAGATGGGGTTTCGCCGTGTTGGCTAGGCTACAACCTTTTCGATGTTACTCATGGCTGTTGGATGTACAAGCTCACTTTATGTCCTGTTCTGGTTCCACTTGGCTGTCCCAAGTCTCCAGTATGGCCTGTGTTCTTTTGAGGGCTTGTTCTGGCTCTAACCCCAGCCATGTCCACTGGTCTTCATAGGTGCGGTGCATTCCAACCATCTTCAACCTTAAATCGGGGAAGTGGGGGAGGGGGAGGAGGGCAGCCTCCATGGGGAGAATCCAGCTATTTCTTGAGCCCAAGTGACTGGGTATAAAGGGTCCCACTGCTTGTTCATTCAGGTGAGTAAATGTGTCCTTAGTGAAGGCCGTCACCTGCACTTTTCATCTGTGTTACTGCTCTGCTCCTGCTAGGGGTTGGGGCTGCCATTATTAAATGCTGACCTCATTTGGAACTGCCAAGAGTTGGAAGTACGTTTTGGCTTTGCTGGATTAATCTTTAGTTTTGGAATTAGCTACGGCATTGGGCAGGTGTTCTGATAGATGTCTGGTCTTCTGTAATGAGCAGTTCCATTCAACACAGCCATGCCCCTTTCTATTAATTTTCTTTTGGTCTGTGTATTAGTCTGTTCTCACACTGCTATAAAGAACTGCCCAAGACTGGGTAATTTATAAAGAAAGGAGGTTTAATTGACTCACAGCTCCACATGGCTGGGGAGGCCTCAGGAAACTTACAATCATGGTGGAAGGGGAAGAAGGCGTGTCTTAATGGCAGCAGGTGAGAGAGCTTGTGAAGGAAGTGAAGGGCGAAGAGCCTTTTATGAAACTGTCAGATCTCATGAGAACTCACTATCATGAGAATAGCCTGGGGGGAACTGCCCCCATGAGACAATCACCTCTCAACAGTTCCCTTTCTCACCACCAGGATAATACAATTTGAGATGAGATTTGGGTAGGGACATAAAGCCAAACTGTATCAATCCGTTTTCTGTGGAGATGGGGGACAGAACTCGTAGCTTGAGCTAAAGGCTGTTACTTGAGCTAAATGCTGTTTCTCTGGGGATTACTGGTCCAGGAACTCCTTGGGCAATCCAGCCTCAGCCCCGTACTTCTGGGACTCTGGGAAGACTGTCCCCATTCTCTGTTCTAATACTCTACACCTAACAGTTTTGCTCAGGCCAGCTCAGGTTGAGAACAAGAAAAACTTAAAAAAAAAAAAAAGACAGATATATGTGTTTTGGATGTTGCGCTGGAAACTATAGTCTCCCCAGAAGAAATCTGTCAGATGATTTAGCATTTAATAGACCACACAGATTTGAAACAGTGGGACCCTGGAGGAAAGGGGTTTGGAAACAAAGGGTGCCTTTGCATGTGGGGATTTTAATTTTGATGAAAAAGAGAAACATGTCTTTTGGCTCTTTTCATGTGTCCTAATAGGGAAACTCTTGGGTCTAAATGTAGAGGTACAGGAGCTGTGTTCATCTCCAGCAAAAAAAACAGAGCTGGCCTGTTGAGCCTGGGAACAGGGTTTGCATCTGCCTGAAATTTATGAGCAAGCACAGCCCATTTTTCTTGTACTTCTTCATCTCAAAGAAAACTTATTAACAACCAAGGAGAAGGTGTAGTTCATCTCTGTTGCAGGATCTCCCTGGAATACTCTTCTAGCCACCTTTTGTTTTTGCAGTAAAAGGAGGAATGAGCATTGAATGAAGACGAGGATGAAGACTGACCATCTAAAACATCTGTTAGTGATAGTTTGGGTTTTATTTTGGGAAAATTCAGTGTTTTCACAAAAACCAAATGGTTTTGTGGGTCTGGCGCTGGACTGAGTGTTGGGAATGTGGATTCTGGTCTCTGTTTTGTCATTAACAGAGTGCCCAGTTTTGGGAGCATCCCTTACATCTACTGTCTGCCTCATATTTACTGCCTGAAATAGAGGATTACTTCTGTTTGCTTTCAAGGGATATTATAATTTAATTTTTATTTTATTTATTGTTGGAGACAAGGTCTTCTTCTGTTGCCCAAACTGGAGTGCACTGGTGCAATTATAGCTCACGGCAGCCTCGACCTCCTGGCCTTAAGGGATCCTCCCGCCTCAGCCTCATAAAGTGCTTGGATAATAGGCACGAGCCACTGTTCCTGGCTAATTTAATATTTTGGAATAATTGTAGACATCATGAAGAAAATCAATGTTTATTTATTTATTGCCTTTTTTGAGATGGAGTCTCGCTTTTGCCTACCAGGCTGAAGTGCAATGGTGTGATCTCAACTCACTGCAACCTCCACCTCTGGGTTCAAGTGATTCTCCTGCATCAGACTCCCAAGTGGCTGGGATTACAGGTGCCTGCCACAATGCCCAGCCCATTTTTGTATTTTTAGTAGAGATGGGGTTTCACCATGTTGGTCAGACTAGTCTCAAACTCCTGACCTCAGGTGATCCACCCACCTTGGCCTCCCAAAGTGCTGGGATTCCAGGCATGAGCCACTGCGCCTGTCCTGATTACTTGTTTTAAATATAGGCCTGATTAGGCTTGTGACCACTCTGTTTGGCTTCACTGAAGGGCTTCCAAGAGATGGACTTTTGAGAGTGACACTGCAAGATAATTGAGATCCTAAGTAAGGCTGTGAGAGGGTGCGGAGAGGAATCCAGATGAGCTTGCTGCTGTCAAATGGCAATGGGGAGCTACACTGAGTAACTCAAAACAGAGTGACCTCAAGTGATCTGCCCTGCCTTGGCCTCCCAAAGTGCTGGGATTACAGGTGTGAACCACTGTGCCTGGTCCTCCTTTCCTTCTTTCTTTCTTCCTCTTTCCTTCCCCCTCCCCTCTCCTCCATTCCTTTCCCCTCCCCTCTTTCATCCCCCCTCCCTTTTTCCTTCCTTGCTTCTTTCCTTCCTTCCTTCCTCAGGGTCTTGCTCTCTCACCTAGGCTGGAGTGCAGTGGCATGATCACTGCACCATGACTTTCAGGCTCAAGTGATCCTCCTGCCCCAGCCTCCCAGGTAGCTGAGACTACAGGTGCATGCCACCGTGTCTGGCTAATTTAAATTTTTTTTTTTTTTTTTTTTGAGGCAGAGTCGTAGTCTTTTGCCCAGGCTGGAGTGCAGTGGTGTGATCCTGTCTTACTGCAACCTCCGCCTCTCGAATTCAAGTGATTCTCCTGTCTCAGCCTCCTGAGTAGCTGGGATTACAGGCATGCACTACCACACCTGGCTAATTTTGTATTTTTAGTAGAGACGGGGTTTCACCATGTTAGCCAGGCTGATCTCAAACTTCTGACCTCAGGTGATTTGCCCGCCTTGGCCTCCCAAAGTGCTGGGATTACAGGCGTGAGCCACTGTGCCTGGTCCTTCTTTCCTTCTTTCTTTCTTCCTCCTTCCTTCCCCCTCCCCTCTTTCATCCCCCCCCTTTTAAATTCCTTGCTTCTTTCCTTTCTTCCTTCCTCAGGGTCTTGCTGTCTCACCTAGGCTGGAGTGCAGCGGCATGATCACTGCACCATGACTTTCAGGCTCAAGTGATCCTCCTGCCCCAGCCTCCCAAGTAGCTGAGACTACAGGTGCATGCCACCATGTCTGGCTAATTTAATTTTTTTTTTTTTTTGAGACAGAGTCGTAGTCTTTTGTCCAGGCTGGAGTGCAGTGGTGTGATCCTGTCTTACTGCAACCTCTGCCTCTCGAATTCAAGTGGTTCTCCTGCCTCAGCCTCCTGAGTAGCTGGGATTACAGGCATGCACTACCACACCTGGCTAATTTTGTATTTTTAGTAGAGACGGGGTTTCACCATGTTAGCCAGGCTGATCTCAAACTTCTGACCTCAGGTGATTTGCCCGCCTTGGCCTCCCAAAGTGCTGGGATTACAGGCGTGAGCCTCCGTGCCTGGCCTAATTTTTAATTTTTTTTTTTTGTAGTGACAAAGTCCCACTATATTGCCCAGGCTGGTCTCAAATTCCTGGCCTCAAGCAATTCTCCCACTTTGTCCTCCCAAAGTGCTGGGATTATAGGCATGAGCCACCATGCCCAACCTAGTGTTGTAAAAGTTCCATATCCATCAAATTGCCAAATGGTGGAGGACTTTGCTGTATCCTCTCCCTTTCCCCACTGTGGTATGCTTGGCTCAGTGGGAGGAGGGGCTGGAGTTGGGTGGGAAAGTACATGAGGCATTGGAATCAGATAACTCTGGGTCTGTATTCCGCACATGCCACCTGTGAGTGGCTGAGCTGGGCTTCTGGCCAACACTCAAAGGCCACATTCCTATTTATAGATGTTCCTTTCACCTTGCTGAAGATGGGGAGAGCTGCACCAGACCACCTCTCAGGGTTTCCTAATGCAAATCCTTGAACCCTGCAGAAGTAAGCATCCAGAGAGGTGGGAGCTACTCGTATACACACTGTCTGTGCCCTCCTCATCTCCCGCTCCTGCAGCATGAAACAGCTGTAATGCTTTGTTATGTTTATTGTCTCCCTTTCTCATTAGACCTGAGCTCTGGGATATTGTGGCCTTAAGTACTTCTGAAAATTTGTATGGCATCTGCTGGGTGAATTTTCCTAGGGTGCTGGGCTGGTTGTTAGGACAGCCTGGGTGACTGGCCTCATTCATGGCAGGGGCAGCAGGTGGAGAGTGGTCCCGGAAGGATTTGAGGAGCTGCACGGAGTCAGGCCCAGCCCCTGGCCCCCTGATTGTCACCTTTCTCAGGATCTGGGATGTTAATTCAGAAACTCTTGACTGCTGGAGGCTGTGATTGACCCACTGAGAGCTTTTAGGCATGTGGATGTGAGTCAGCCAGGATTGATGGAGCATTGACTGCTAATTGGACTCCTCTGGGAAGGTAGAGGGGGGCAATACATAATGCCTTCGCTGTGGGAGCTTCATCAAGGGGATGATTCTTGGAAGGACATCTTTTCCTCCCTCTTTCCACAGGGGCATGCTAGCCCTGTCATTCTAGGAGTTTATTATCCTTCAGACACAGCTACTTATGTTTTTAATTCCCTCACAGGATGAAGACATGAAGAGAAAGTTTCAAGATCTTCTGTCTGAGGAAAATGAATCCACAGCTCTATCTCAGGTTCTAGCCCAGGTATTCGTATTCCTGATGATCACTAAATATAGTCTGGGCTTAAGGAGCTGATTAGCAAAGATGATGAAATTCAAGATTTTCCTGAGTAGCAATTGCTTAACATTGTTTCAGTTATAATGTAGTAGAAACTCTGTTTGAACTTGATTCACTCCAGCACCCTTAGATTTAAAATTGCAGGATATGTTTAATATCTAACACATAATAGACAGATAAGCACAGCTAGGGATTGTCATCCAAAAGGTCACCTGCAAGGCAATTTCAAAAGACTCTATTAGAGGCTCAAATATAAATTTGTTGGAAAATTAAAATTTGGGTCAGTAGTTGATTCCTTGATTACAATTTTGTTCTTTAAAGTTCTTTGTGAGTATAAGTTAATTCCAGTCCTGCTTTTTTGTTGTTGTTGTTGTTGTTGAATGGTAGCTGTCCTTTTTCCCACTGTTTTCTCCCCCCCCGATTTTTATTTTCTTGAGACAGACTCTTAGTCTGTCACTCAGGCCAGAGTGCAGTGGTGCAATCTCAGCTCACTGCAACCTCTGCCTCCTGGGTTCAAGCAGTTCTCCTGCCTCAGTCTCCTGAGTGTCTGGGACTACAGGTGTCTGCCACTGTGCCCAGTTAATTTTTGTATTTTTAGGTGAGATGGGGTTTTGCCATGTTGGTCAGGCTTGTCTCGAACTTTTGACCTGAAGTGACCTACCCACCTCGGCTTCCCAAAGTGCTTGGATTACAGGTGTGAGTCACCACACCCAGCCTTCCTCCCAATTTTGTATATGGGAAAACAACTAAGGCACAAAGGTTGTCTTCCCGCAAAAGACCAAGACTTGGGGCTTCAAATGAGAGGTATTGTAGTCCTTTTAAACTTGATATTTAGAAGAGGATGATCAAGAGGAAGTTGGTTATGCTACTTGCTTTCAGTATACATCATTCAGAGGTCAGAAGCCATAAGGGAGAGAAATATCCATTAGATAAGCATGTCTGAGTTGTGGGCTGTGATGAGGACTCAGTTGTCAATGATGAAAACCAGTAATTTTTGGTACTAGAATTTCACATCAAATGCCCCCACTTTACTGGAAGTACATTGAGGAACTTTGATAATCTTAAAGAAGCCAGTGATTTTCTTTTGAATATTTCTCCATTTTCCTTTATTTTCAGCCTTCTACTAGTCAAAAGCGGCCTCGTGAAGGGGAAGCCGAGGGTGCCGAGACCACAAAGCGCCTGGCTGTGTGTGCTGCTGTGTTGTGAACTCCGTGGTTTGAACATGAAAGAAATGTACCTTCTTTCACTCTGTCATCTTTCTTTTCTTTGAGTCTGTTTTTTTATAGTTTGTATATTAATTATGGAAATAATTGTTTTTTCACAGTCACTGATGTACAATAAAAAACCTGATGGAACCTGGGCTTTGTGCTTCTGCTTGATAATCGGTTCTTTAGTTGAATGGCTTTATTATTTATTTATTTGAGACGGAGTCTCACTCTGTTGCCCAGCCTGAAGTGTAGTGGTGCAAGCTTGGCTCACTGCAACCTCTGCTTCCCAGGTTCAAGCGATTCTCGTGCCTCAGCCTCCTGAGTAGCTGGGATTACAGGTATGCGCCACCATGCCAAGCTAATTTTTATATTTTTTTGTAGAGACAGGGTTTTGCCACGTTGGCCAGCCTGGTCTTGAACTTCTGACCTCAGGTGATCCGCCTGCCTCGGTCTCTTAAAGTGCTGGGATTACACACGTGAGCCACTATGCCTAGCCTGAATGGTTTTTTTATATTTAAAGTTGTTGTGTGCCTTTCATCTGGAGCTACACCTTGGCTATCACTAGGCAGGTTTCCCAGGATGTCACCCTGGTCTCAGCCTGTGAGAGCTGAATGCAAATTCTAAGGGCCCTTGGAAAGTTCCAGGGAAAGGAGCATAGCGAGGTTGGGGGTGGAGTTTGTAGAGACTGGCTGGCTGGCTGCTGACATCTTCATGAGAACAGCAGGTACCTTGGTGCATAATAACAGGCCAGGTTATATTCTCATCCTTGCCCTCATAAAGATACAGGTCTACAGTCTCTGAAACCTTTGGGCTAGATAAGTTGTGAAATTTAATTACCCAATTTTCGGAAGGTGGTAAGGCATATCTACTATGTGTATGTGTAGCACCCCAGTGGAGTCCTACACATGTGGAGTCCTACCCCAGTGGAGACCAAACATGTTAATATTTCCACAGCAAATATTCACAGTAAGAGGGATAGAGAAAGATTATAGGTAGTTGCATATTGACTCATATCAGTCTTTTCTTCCAAATGAGCTACAATGACTCATTTCTGAGAGCTGTTTGGGTTTTTGAAGTGGAGATAAGGCACGGTTATGTCTTGATGACCCAATAATGACCGGGGAGGCCCTGTGCAAAGACTTACCCTTGGCTGCTCTTGTCCTCACAGTGATTCTATGAGGTCCTCTAGCCACTGTCATGTCACAGGTGAGGAAACCAAAGTTGGAGGATGAAGGTAACTTTTCTGATGTCGCGCAGCTGGTAAATGGCAGAGCTGGGACCCAACCCAGGTCTTTTTGACTCTAAAGCTAATGTTCCTTATTGTCCACTGAATCTGCTTTTATAACTTTGCTTGGTCGATGCTAGGACACTTTGTAGCTCACTGGCCATGCCATGAATTGAGTGCCGTGGTTCAAAGGCCACTGGTGATTCAGTCAAGGCAGGCTCGAGGGCACACAGCCATTTCCTTAGGAAATGGGGATGGTGGTTGAAAATTTCTATTAAAGGGTATATAAGCATTCTGAGACTTGGCTGGCCAGGTGTAGGGGGTTTGTTGGGAATTTAGGTGGTTTGCATGTTTAAAGGAATAAGACTGAGATTGCCAATTAGATGGGTTTTAGCTCATTTGAATATTTAATGTGGAGGCTGTGGTTTCCTGGGACATTTTTCCCACTGTGGAGAGTTAGCCAGCTTTTCTCTGTTGCTTTTTTCTTTTTTCTTTTTTTAATCGAGATGAAGGTGACAATCATCTTATGCTTGTCACCCAGGCTGGAGTGCAATGGTGCAATCTCAGCTCACTGCAACCTACGCCTCCTGGGTTCAAGCGATTCTCCTGACTCAGCCTCCTGAGTAGCTGGGATTACAGCCACCTGCCACCATGCCCAGCTAATTTTTGTATTTTTAGTAGAGATGGGGTTTCACCATGTTGGTCAGACTGGTCTTGAACCCCTGACCTCAGGCAATCCACCCACCTCCCTCCCAAAGTACTGGGATTAGAGGCATGAGCTACCATGCCCGGCCGCCCTTCTCTGTTTCCAGAGCATTTTGTATTAACTCCCCCTCATGATATCTTCCATGGCAGGCTGAATAATGGCCCCTCCAAAGTGTCCTCAACTTAATCCCCAGAATCTGTGACTATGTTCCTTTCCATGACAAAAGGGACTTTGCAGATGTGATTAAGCATCTTGAGATGGGAACTTATCCTATGTTGCCTGTGGGCCCAGTGTCCCATCACAGTGCTTTTTTTTTTTTTTTTTTTGAGATGGAGTTTTTTGCTCTTGGTGCCCAGGCTGGAGTGCAATGATGCAATCTCGGATCACTGCAACTCCACCTCCCAAGGTTCAAGCGATTCTCTTGCCTCAGCCTTCCGAGCAGCTGGATTACAGGTGCTCGCCAACATGTCCAGCTAATTTTTGTTTTTCCAGTAGAGATGGGGTTTCACCATGTTGGCCAGGCTAGTCTCGAACTCCTGACCTCGTGATCTGCCCACCTTGGCATCCCAAAGTGCTGGGATTATAGGCGTGAGCCACCACATCCAGCCTACAGTGCTCTTTTAAGAGGGACTCAGCAGTCAGGGGAGATGGCAATGCGATGGTGACTGAGTGTCTTAGTCTTTTTTGTATTGCTATGCAATATCTGAGGCTGGGTAATTTATAAAGAACAGGCTTATTTCTTAGAGTTCTGGAGGCTGGGAAGGTCAAGATCAAGGGGCCTGCTTCTGGTGAGGGTCTTCTTGCTGTGTCATCCCATGATGGAAGGTATCACATCAAGAGAGAAAGGGGGCTGAACTCAATACTTTTATTAGGAACCCATCCCCATGATAATTAACCCTCTGCTGAGATAACATTATTACTCTATTAATGAGGGAAGATCTTTCATGACCTAATCTCCTCTTAAAGGTCCCACCTCTCAACAGTGTTGCATTGGGGATTAAATTTCCAACACATGAACTTTGGGGGACACATTCAAACCATAGCACTGTGCAGAGATTGGAGTGATACGCTTTAAAAATGGAGGAAAGGGCCACAATCCAGGGAATATAGGTAACCACTAAAAGCAGAAAAAGGCAAGAAAACGGGTTTTCCCTTCAGAACCTCCTGAAGGAATCAGTCCTTTACAACTTGACTTTAGCCAAGTGAAACTGATTTGAGGCTTCTGAACTATAGAACAATAAGATATTAAGTCTGTGTTGTTGTAAGCCAATCAGTTCGTGGTAATTTGTTACAGCAGCCATAGAAAACTAACTGACTCACCAATGGGAGAAATCAGCTGCTGATTGAAGGTTACCAAACATCTACTTCCTTTCCTAACGTCACTTTAATTTTATCTTGGAGGAATTCTTTTCCCTACCCCATTAAGTTATGGGAGATGGGGCCAGGCATGGTGGCTTAGCAATCCCAGCACTTTGGGAGGCTGAGGCGGGTGGATCACTTGAGGTCTGGAGTTTGAGACTAGCCTGGACAACATAGTGAAACCCCATCTTTACTAAAAATACAAAAATTAGCCAGGTGTGGTGGTGGGCACCTGTAATCCCAGCTACTCCAGAGGCTGTGGCATGAGAATTGCTTGAACCTAGGAGGCAGAGGTTGCAGTGAGCTGAGATCGCACCACTGCACTCCAGCTTGTGTGACAGAGTGAGACTCCATCTCAAAAAAAAAAAAATGTTATGGGAGAGGATGGTAAAGCTAAGTATCTTTTGCACCTACTCCCCAGCCCCACCACTGCAGAAGCTGAAGGGGTTCCTAGAGGCTTCTTCTGCCATGGAGCTGTTCCCACTGGCCCCTAGCTAGAGGTGGGTGTAGGACTTTGAAACATGAACAAATGGAGCTGGGATGGCAATGGCGGGAACAATATTGTGCTAATCTGAACTCTGCACTTCCTAACTTTGGCTCTTGGTAAATTACCTCAAATTGCTGAGCCTTTGTTTCCATATTAATAAAATGGGTGCGGTAAGAGTACCAACCTCTTCTATGCTGTTTGGAGGAGGCAGGTCATAAGGTACCTGGCATGTGGTAGGGGATTCATGAATGTTGGCTTCTATCATTAAGGGTGGGGGAGCCACATAAGTAGCCAGAGGGAGTCATAGAAAGTTCTTGAGCCAGAGAAGTAAGATAATCTTTTCAGCTTTTTGTGCAGCATAAAAGGCGGGTAATTTGCTTGCCTTTGACCAAGGAAATGTGGGACGTGCCAGGCCTGGGGTGAATGGTGGGAACCCAAGTAGAGGGATATTTCTCATTGGCTGAATTAACTGTGATTCCATTTTGCGGAGCAGCCAGGTTACTTCATGGTGGACCAGCTGCATGCCTACATGATGGTGCTGTGGATAGCTCTTGTTTGTGCCAGCCCTGTATCTGATACCTCTTGTGGTAATTGCATCCCTATTTTTCAGAAGGAAGCATCCCTCCTCCCACTTTCTGGTTTTCCCCATGTCCTTCTGGAGGGGATGACCCCAACTGCTTCCTGAAGGGGCTTCATGAAAGCCAGGTCTGGCCAGGCTGGATGTGGTGAT
The DNA here is from genome assembly GCF_000001405.40 of Homo sapiens. Lineage (NCBI taxonomy): Eukaryota > Metazoa > Chordata > Mammalia > Primates > Hominidae > Homo > Homo sapiens. The sequence goes on from NT_187383.1 coordinate 165,309, forward strand.
TGGCTCAGGCAGGGCATGTGGCCCAAACGGGTCCAGTGAAAGTCAGTCCTGGGACTTTGGCTGGGACTATTGGGGAACAGCCTCTGCTTTCTTGCGCAGATGTGAGTTAGGAGCTGCTCAGGCCACTATGTGGAAAGAATTGCATGAGAATGAAGTAATCAAAGGGAAGCAAGCACAGAGAGATTAGAGAGACTTATCTTGTATAAGTGCCTGTATCCAGCTATGCCTGAAGTGAGGTACCACCCCAGGCCTTTTCAGTCATGCTATCAGTTTTGTTCCTTTTTTCTGTTTTCCTCTTGGTGGAGTTATTTATTTTTTCCTTGTTACTTGAATAAGAAAAATACGAAACTAGAAGGCTGGGTGCAGTGGCTCACGCCTGTAATCCCAGTACTTTGGAAGGCCAAGGCAGGTGGATCATGAGGTCAGGAGTTTGAGATCAGCCTGACCAACATGGTGAAATCCTGTCTCTACTAAAAATACAAAAAAATTAGCCAGGCGTGGTGGTGCGTGCCTTTAATCCCAGCTACTCAGGAGGCTGAGGCAAGAGAATTGCTTGCATCTGGGAGGCGGAGGTTGCAGTGAGCCGAGATCGTGCCACTGCACTCCAGCCTAGGTGACAGAGCAAGACTCCATCTCAAAAAAAACAAAAACAAAAACAAAAAAACAAAACAAAAAAAAACCAGACTAGTAAATGCAACCATTTACAAATCCCAAGAGACTCTTGAAGATTCTTTTTGTTAGTAGGGAAAACATTCTCCATTTTTCTGCCAACTTTAGGGTTTTCAGAGAAGTTTGGGGGAGAGAAAGGAAAGCAAAGAGGTGGGAAGAAAGAGTCCTTGCAACCCCAAGTTGGGCGAACTCCTCCCAGCTACTTATACCACAGGGTTTTGGGAGCAGAGCCCCTTTCATTAAACTTTCAGGATTCTTGGATGGATAGGGTGGGAATTACACCAGTGAAACTCAGCTTTGTGTGTGCCAGGCATTGGGCCCTGGGATATGCAGTCATGTGTTGTATAATGACATTTTAGTCAATGACAAACCACATGTAAGTCAGTGGTACCATAAGACGATTATGGAACTGAAAAATTCCTATTGCTTAGTGACATAGCCATTGTAATGTTAGGGTAATGCATTTCTGTGTTTCTGGTGATGCTGGTGTAAACAAATCTGTGCTGCCAGTTCTATAAAAGCATAGCATGTACAATTACATACAATATATAATACTTGATAATGAACAACTATGTTACTGGTTTATTTTATGTTTTTGAGACAGAGTCTTGCTCTGTCGCACAGGCTGGAGTGCAGTGGCGCAATCTTGGCTCACTGCAACTTCTGCCTCACAGGTTGAAGCGATTCTTCTGCCTCAGCCTCCTGAGTAGCAGGGAATACAGGCACCCACCACCACGGCCAGCTAATCTTTGTATTTTTAGCAGAGATGGGGTTTCACCACACTGCCCAGGCTGGTCTCAAACTCCTGACCTCAAATGATCTTCCCACCTCAGCCACCTGAAGTGCTGGGATTACCCACATGAGACACTGTGCCCAGCCCTGGTGTATTTAGTGTTTTTCATAATTTTAGAATGTATGTCTTCTACTTACATTAAAAAATAATTAACTATAAAACAGCCTCAGGCAGGTCCTTCAGGAAGTATTCTGGAAGAAGAAGGCATTGTTATCACAGGAGAGGACATCTCCATGCATGTAATTGCCCAGGCGGGAGTGCAGTGGCACGATCTCGGCTCACTGCAACCTCCGCCTCCTAGGTTCAAGCGATTCTCCTGCGTCAGTCTCCTGAGTAGCTGGGATTGCAGGTGCACACCACCATGCCTGGCTAAGTTTTGTATTTTTAGTAGAGATGAGGGTTTCACCACGTTGGCCAGGATGGTCTTGAACTCCTGACCTCAAATGATCTGCCTGCCTCGGCCTCCCAAAGTGCTGGGATTACAGGCGTGAGACACCACGACTGGCAAAATTTTTAAGATACATTTCAGTAAGCTAAGGTGAATTTATTGAAGAAAAGCTTTAAAAAATTTTGGTGTAGCCTAAGCATATGGTGTTTATAAAGTCTACAGTAGTGTACAGTAAGGTCCTATGCCTTCACACTCATTGACTCATCCACAGCATCTTCCAGTCCTGCAAGCTCCTTTCGTGGTAAGTGCCCTATACAGGAGTACCATTTTAAATTCTCTTATACTCTATTCTTATTGTACCTTCTCTATGTTCAGGTACACAAGTACTTACATTGCGTTACAACTGCTTATGGTACATTCAGTAAAGTATCAGGCTGTACAGGTGTGTAGCCTAGGAGCAATAGGCCATACAGCCTAGGTGTTTAGTAGGCTATACAAGGCTATACAAGGTTTGTGCAAATGCACTTTGCTGTTTGCACAATGCTGCAGTCACCTAAGGAGGCATGTCTCAGAACCATCCCGTGATTAAGAGAGGCATGATCGTACAGTCATCATCTCCCTGAAAGCTCAGTCAACCCTGTGCAGTGCTACTGCCACACTCCCCTTTTGCACATGTAGAAATCAAGGATCTTTGGCTCCTCTGAGTGACTTGTTCAAGGTTTCTCAGTTTCCAAGAGATGGAGGCGGGACTTGAATTGAGATTTCCCTTTCTTGAGAACCTGTGGTCCTTAACCATTAAAACCACTTAAGAGATCTTCTCTCTTGATCACTACCTACTAAGTGCTAGGCGCGGTGCTGAGGCGTTCTCTTGATTATGATATTGAGTCTTTAGATTTCGGAGAAACAGGCCGAGCGCGCTGGCTCACGCCTGTAATCTCAGCACTTTGGGAGGCCAAGGTGGGAGGATCACGAGGTCAGGAGATGGAGACCATCCTGGCTAACACGGTGAAACCCCACCTCTACTAAAAATACAAAAATCAGCAGGTGGTGGCAGGCGCCTGTAGTCTCAGCTGCTCGGGAGGCTGAGGCAGGAGAATGGCGTGAACCCGGGAGGTGGAGCTTGCAGTGAGCCGAGATCGCGTCACAGCACTCCAGCCTCGGTGACAGAGCGAGACTGTCTCAAAAAAAAAAAAAAAAGATTTAGGAGAAACAAGTTCCGAAGCCCTGACCCTAACACGCAAGTGTTAGTGGAGATGTGGGACTTCAACTCAGCTTCTCCGTTGAGTCGGCTGTCTCCGGGACGCAGGCACCTGCTTGCACACCTCCACGGTGGCGATCCCGCCCCCTTAGTAGCGTCCTTAGCTGGGCACTTCTTGCAGGGAAGCTCCTCTTGGCCCAGACCCTCTTCCTAGGCCCCACGTGGTGGGGGAAGCGAAAGGGGCAGTGTGGGGAAGTGGCGGAGGGGTCGGGTCCGGGGTGGTCTGCAGAGAGGCAGGCGGCGGTGCCCAGCCGGGAACCACGCGCTCACCCGCGGAGTCGGACGGGCCCGGCGGGGGTGGGCGAGACACTGGGAACAGCGGCCAGCTCCAGAGGGGCGAGGCGGGGCGCGCGGGGAGGGAGGGGGGCGCGGCGAACGCGCGCGTGCGCGGTTCGTGTGTGGGCCCGCGGGGGCGCGCGCGGCTGGGGGGCAGTGAGGGTCGCCTCGGCGGCGAGCAGCACGGCGGGAACATGGCGCCCGGAACTGGCGCGCGCGCCTAGCTGGCGGGACCGTTAGCTCGAGGCGGACGCGGCCCGGACCCGGTGGATGTGGAGCAGTCGCCGCTGCCGGCGCCCAAGCCGACCCCAGGGCCGACCCCCGCAAGGAGCTGAAGGAGGTGGGAGCCCCAGTCGCCGCGGGCGTCGGCGCCGGTGAGTGCGTGAGGGGCTCGGGCCGGGAGACTTTCTTTGTGAAACTCCGGCGGTGGGAGCCGGGCCGGGCCTCAGCGGCTGAGGAGTGCCTGTGAGGCGGAAGGCGTCTGGCAGTCCGGGTTCCATCCCAGCCGCTAGCCGTCAGGCGGCGGGACCTGGTCCGCCGCCTGCCTGCCTCAGTTTCCACGGGAGTGTGTGCGGGTGTGTGAGGGTGTGTATGGGTGTTGGCCTGTGCGCACCGGAGGGGGGGTCGGTATACTGTCAGCGCCTAATGCGCGCGGCGCCTCCCCCCTCCCCCCAGTCCCCGTGGGGCGGAACCTGGGGACTGGAGTCCACCGGAGTAGTAGGCGGCACCCGCGGGGAGACAGGTGTCCGCGCAGCCCGGGAGGCTCAGGTGCTACCTTTCCCTGGTGGGGTTTGTGAGGAGTGAGCTCTTCGTTCCCAGAGGCGAGCAAGTCTGTCGGTGGCTCATCACAGAGCGCTGTTTTGGACAGCGTTCCACCCACCTCAGCTTCGTGCTGTGTTTGGGCCACTAGTCAGGGGGAAGGATGCTGAGCGACATGGACTTTAGAGGTGGGGCCCCCGCTGGACGGGATGGGTCTGGGCTCTCGAGCTTACCCCCACCCTTTCCTCCCAAACCCGTTAGAGCGTAGGAATCATTGGGAGCACCTGATAAAAATGCCACGGATTGTGGCTCACCTAAGCAGGGAAGCCGATTTGGAACTTAAACAAGCTCCCAAGTTGTGATCAGTCGAGCTTGGCAAGCACTGTTTGAGAGAGTAGGCTTCCCGCAAGCAGGAGCCGGTTTTGTGTATACCTCACCATGGCATCTTGGTACCTGGCATGGTGCCTGGCACATGGTAGATGATCAGAAAATATCTGTAGAAAGTCTAAATTATTAGGGAGAGTGCAGCATAGGAGTTCTTGAGACATTTTCAGGAGCTTCTTGAGATTAATATCTGTCAGATTTGTTTTACAGTATATTTTTCTCAGCTCCCAACTTTTGTGATTGTTTTTAATGCCATGTTTTCAGTATGTTCTAGGCAAAAGCAGGGTATATGTTGCTTAGTATACACTATCGACTAGGCCGGTTGTGGTGGCTCACTCCTGTAATCTCAGCACTTTGGGAGGCAGATTGCTTGAGCCCAGGGGCTTGAGGCTGTAGTGAGCCAAGGAGTTAGAGACCAGTGTGGGAAACATAGTGAGGCTCGTCTCCGCAAAAATTAGCTGGGTGTGGTAACGTGCACTTGCAGTCCCAGCTACTCTGGAGACTGAGGTGGGAGGATCGCTTGAGCTCAGGAAGTACAAGTTGCAGTGAGCCAAGGTTGTGCCACTGCATTCCATCCTGGATAACACAGCGAAACCCAGTCTCTTAAATAAGTAAATAAATACATAGATGATTATGTATACTCCAGCTAGGTTAAAATTAATTCTGAATCAAAATTCTAAATTAAAATATGCATGTTTCTTTGTCTTCATCATTTGAGAACACTAGGCTTTTAGGATTTCATTCCGTTGAGGCAGGTAAATATCTACATTTTTGACAAAGCAAATATGAATTACTGTTAATTCAAGAAAGGTGGGAATTTGCTTAAACCTGAGTATTTGTAGTCTCTGTGACTTTTTTAAATTTTAAATTTAAATTTTCTTTTTTTTTTCTATTTTTTTTGAGATGGAGTCTCACTCTGTCGTCCAGGCTGGAGTGCAGTAGCACAATCTCAGGTCACTACAACCTGCACCTCCCGAATTCAAACAATTCCCCTGCCTCAGCCTCTGGTGTAGCTGGCATTACAAGTGTGTGCCACCACGCCCAGCTAATTTATGTATTTTTAGTAGAGAGGAGGTTTCACTGTGTTGCCCAGGCTGGTCCCAAACTCCTTGACCTCAAGTGATCTGCCCACCTTGGCCTCCCAAAGTGCTGGGATTACAGGTGTGAGCCACAGCACCTGGCCTTATTTTTATTTTTTTGAGACAGACTCTCAGTCTGTCGCCCAGGTTGGAGTGCTGTGGCATGATCTCCACTCACTGCAACCTCCACCTCCCAGATTCCAGCGATTCTAATGCCTCAGCCTCCTGAGTAGCTGGGGTTACTAGACCCGGGTAATTTTTGTTGTATTTTTTTCGTAGAGACTGGGTTTCCCTATGTTGACCAGGCTGCTCTGGAACTCCTGGCCTCTAGTGATCCACCTGCCTCGTCCTCCCAAAGTGCTGGAATTACAGGCATGAGCCACTGCCCCCAGCCAATCTTTGTGATATTTTGAAATTGACGTTTATATTTTATTCAGAGTCAAAGCTAAAATAGAATTGTTTGAAAATTAATATTTCAGGAACTATTTTTTAATTAAGTTGAATTTTATTTTATTAGTTTCATTTCAGTAGGGTTTTAACCTAAAAAATATATATATACATACACACATATATGCGTATATACATATACGCATATATGCGTATATGTGTGTATATACATATATATATATATATATATATATATATATATATATATATTTTTTTTTTTTTTTCCTGAGACAGAGTCTTGCTCTGTCACCCAGGGTGGAGTGCAGTGGAATGATCTTGGCCTCACTGCAGCCTCCACCCTCCCGGCTCAAGCAATTCTCCTGCCTCAGCCTCCCAAGTAGCTGGAACTACAGGTGCCCACCACTACACCTGGCTAATTTTTATATTTTTAGAAGAGATGGGGTTTCACCATGTTGTCCAGGCTGGTTTTGAACTCCTGATCTCAAATGATCTGCCCTCCTTGGCCTCCCAAAGTGCTGGGATTACAGGCGTGAGCCCCCGTGCCTGGCCTAAAAAATATTTTTAAAGGCAGGATCTAGCTATGTTGCCTCAGCTGGTCTTGAACTCCCAGTCTTGGCCTCAAGTGATCCTTCTTCCTCAGCCTTCTGAATAGCTGGAAGCACAGCTGTGAGCCAGCACACATGGCTTTTTTTTATTTCTAATAAAAAAGTTAATAGAGTTTCTTGTTTCACTGGACAAAATATGCATATATAGGAAGGAAAGACTTTTGGACTTGAGATTGTGCTGAAGAAGAAAAATGGAAAAATTAAGCATTTTAGTCTCAGTGTGTTATTTTTGTAGCTTATACAGATATGTCTTTTTAAAGTGTCTTTAAAAAGCTTTATTGAGATAAAGATAAATGAGATAAATGCACCTACCATGAAATCAACCCCTTGAGTGCAGAATTTTGTGGTTTATAATATGTTCACAGAATCGCACAAACAAGACAGGTATCTAGATACTTTCAGACCATTTTCATCAGTCCACAAGAAATCCCATACCCATTAGCAGTCATCCTTATTCCCTTTTCCCCTAGTCCCTGGCAATAACTAGCTTACTTTCTGTCTCTGAGTTTAGCTGTTCTGGAGGTTTCACAGAATGAAATCTTACTACATATGGTCTTTTGTGATTGACTTATTTCACTTGGCACAGTGTTTTCAAGGTTTATCCATGCTGTAGCGTATATCAGCACTTCACTCTTTTCTAATGCTGAGTAATCTTTTGAATGGATATACCATATTTTATCAGTTCCTCTATTGATAGGCACTTGAGTTTTTTTTCCAATTTTTGGGTATTATGCACAATGCTGCTGTGAACATTTGTGTACAAATTTTAGTGTGGATGTATATTTTCATTTCCCTTGGGTATATCCCTAAGGAATACACTATCCGGGTCATATGATAATTGTTTGAGACTACAGGCACGTGCCACCACACCTGGCAAATATTTAAAATTTTTTTGTAGATAAAGGGTCTCGCTATTTTGCCCAGGCTGATCTTGAACTCCTGGCCTCAAGAGATCCTCTCACCTCAGCCTCCCAGAAAGTGTTAGCATTACAGATGTGAGTCACTGCACCTATAAAAGGGGCTCATACCTCTTTTTATGTATTTTTTTTTTTTGAGACAGGCTTTCACTCTGTTGCCCAGGCTGGAGTGCAGTGGTGGGATCACAGCCCACTGCAGCCTGGACCTCTCTCCATATGATTCTAGCTTTGGGTGTCTTTCCTGTAGTTTCTATTATGTTGTGGTATGTTTCTTCTGTACCCGTTTATTTGAGGATTAATAGCATGAAGGGATATTGAATTTCATCAAATGCTTTTTCAGTTTCAGTTGACATGATCATACTGTTTTTGTCGTTTATTTGGTTGATATGATGTATCACATTGTATGTTGAGTGACCCTTGCATCCCAGGGATACATCCCACTTGATCATGATGAATTATCTTTTTAATGTTTTACTGAATTTGATTCACTGGTATTTCGTTGAGGATTTTTGCATCAATATTCGAGATACTGGCCTGTAGTTTCCTTCTTTGATGCCTTTGTCTGATTTTGGTATCACAGTAATAATGGTCTCATAGAACAAGTTTGGAAGTATTCCCTCCTGTTTTTCAAAATAGTTTGAGTAGGATTTGTACTAGGTCATTAAATTGTTTGGTGTGAAGCCATCAGCAGTGAAGACATCAGTTCCTGGGCTTTTCTTTACTGGGAGACTTTTTCTGATGGCTTCAATCTCATTACTTGTTACCAATCTGTTCTGGTCTTGGATGTTTTCATTGTTCAACCTAAGTAGGTTGTATGCATCTAGGAATTTGCCAATTTCTACTAGGCTTTCCAATTTATTGGCATATAATAGCCAGTTATGATCCTTTGAATTTCTGAAGTATTAGTTGTAATGTCTGCCTTTTTTAATCTGTTGATTTTATTTATTTGAATCTTGTCTCTTTTTTCTTAGTTAGCCTGGTTAAAAGTTTGTCAATTTTGTTTTGCTTTCCAGAAAACCAACTTTTCATTTCATCTTGTGTGTTTTTTCTTTCAATTTTATTTCTGCTATGATCTTATTTATTTTTCTTATTTTTGGTTTAGTTTGTTCTTACTTTACTAGTTATTTAAGATGTATTGTTTATTTGAAGTTTTTCTTTTGTTTGGATGGTAGGCACTTATAGCTGTAAATCTCTGCCTTTGTACTGCTTTCTGCATAACAAGTTTTGGTATACTGTGTTTTCGTTACCCTTTGTTTCATGAAATTTTTGAATTTCTGTCTTAGTATCTTCATTGACCCGCTAGTCATTTATTCAGGTGGGTAGTGTTTAACTTCCATGTGATTGTATTGTTTCCAAAATTACTCTTCTTATTGATATCTAGTTTTATTCCTTTGTAGTCAAAGAAGATGGCCACGGAGATAGCAGCGTGGTCAGAGTGGTAGGAGCTGGTCATCGGCGAGAGCTGCTCCATGTCTGGCTGCTGAGTGCTAGAGCCTGTGGCCCACTGGCTTGCCTCACTATGGTTGGTGGTGGCGGTGACAGAGACTGCAGCACGACCAGAGTGGTAGGACAGGGGCTATCCAGGGCTGCACCTTTCACAGTGTGGGGTGGGTTGGGGGTGCTATCCAGGGTGTCATTGCCTGCATTAGGGGTACTGCTTGGTAGCACTGTACAGGGCTGCACTTCCCATGGCAGGGAGGGTGGGTTATGGGCACTTTCTGGGGCTGCAATGCCCATGGAGGAGGACAGGTTAGGGCACTATCAGGTATACGCTACTGGCGGCATTGGGGGATGGAGGTGGGGGGCGCTATTGAGGGCAGGACTAGCCGTGGAGTGGGGGCGAGTTCAGTGCTATCAGGGGCTGCACTGCTGGCAGTGGTCAGCAGAGTTGGCATCCAAGGAAGGAGTGGTTCTCCTCTCCCTGACTCCACACTCCAGAGGGCGACCCACTCTTGGTCATACTGGAATGCGGCAGGCACGCAGCATTTGCGTGGGAATCCTGAGCACGGCAGAGCCCCCACACCCACCATGGTTCCTGGGCCTGTGCACTCTGGGTCTGTGCCTCAGAGGCTGCCAGGCACCCCTGGGGACACCACGGGGGACAGGGCCCTGTGTGTGGAGGCGTCTGGAACAGGAATTGGCACCTGGGTGCAGAGGGCTGGCTGGGTCTGAATTTTTCTGCTTCTCCTGCTCCCCGAGGAGTGCAGCCCCGGTGGGCCCAATGGTTCCTGTGGAGTGGGGAGCTGGGTGCTGTGGTGTCTCCAGCACCCTCCCCAGACCCCAGTTCCTGGCCAGCTTGGACCAAAAGGAGAGGCTGGACTTTGGAGGGTGGGTGTGAGTGCCTTTGCTGAAACTGGCCCCTGCCACCCAGTGGCCAGCATGACAAGTTGAGGCTCTAACCCTTCCACCCCTCACATCTTCCTCTAGGCTTTTCTGGCTTTGCCCACCCAGCTGCTCCATGCCAGGAGGAGGAGGAGACACCTAGAGCCTGCGACACCACGACTTGCCTCACTGCGGGTGGGTGGCAGCGACAGAGACTGCAGTGCGCCAGAGCGGTAGGAGAGCGGCCGCGCTAGGAGGGCAGGCGGCTGCAGCCAGGGTTGGGGCTCAGGCTTACAGCGATGGACGGGCTGCAGCAGTGGCCAGGTGGTAGGAGCCTTGTAGGGAAGGCTGGTGCATTGGCAATGGGCCTGGCTTTGCCCTGCATTGCCCTGTACCTGCCCTACTGTTACATGGACTGTCTCGGCCCTGTCCTGCTCTGGTCCCATCCTGACCCTGTCTTGGCCCTGTGCTACCCTGTCCCTGCCCTGGTCTTGCCCTGGCACTGGCCCTGCCCTGAACCGGCACTGGCCCTGCCCTGAACCTGCACTGGCCTGACCTTGGCTCTGGCCCTGGCTCTGGCCCTACCCCTTGTCCTGACCCTGGTCATGTCATGGCACTGGCCCTGCCAGTGGTCATGGTCCTACTCCTGTTCTGGCCCTGACCTGGCCTTGGACATGTCCTGGTCTTGCTTTGGCCCATCCCTGCCCTGGCCCTACCATGGGCCTGCCTTTTCTGCCTTCTCCTGGCACTGACCTTGCCCTGTCATGGCCCAGTGGTGCCATTGCCCTGCTTTACCCTGCACTGGTTGTACCTCGGCCCCGCTTGGTGCTGGCCACTCCCTGGACCTGCCCAGACCCTGCCTCGACTTTTGCCCTGCCCTCACTACGGCCTGGCCCTGGCCCTAGCCCTGGTCCTGCCATACCCCTGGCCCTGCCCTTATCCAGGCCCTGCCCCTGCTGCTGCCCTGGCCCTGGCCTGGAACCTGGTCCTGTCAAGGACCTGCCCTGACTCTGCCATGGCCCTGGCCCTGCTCTGCCTTGTTCCTGGCCCTGACCCTCTCCTGGCTCTGCACTGGCCTTTCCCTGGCCCTGAGCTGGCAGTGGTCTGCCCCTGGTCTGGCCATCACCCTGCCCTGCTGTGCTCTGGATGTGTCATCACCCTGCCCTGGCCCTACTCTGCCTTTGACCCTGCCCTGGCCTTACCTTGGCCCTCACCCTAGTCTTCGCTAGGCCCTGCTCTGGAGCTGGCCCTAGCACAGACCTGGCCCTGACCCTGGCCCTGGTCTTTGTCCTGCCATAGCCCTGGCCCTGAAGTGGACTTGGAGGTGTCCTGGCCCCGGCGTAACATGGCTCTGCATTGGCCTGTCCCTGCCCTGCCCCTACCATTGCCTTGCCCTGCTCTGCCCTGTCCCAGTACTGACCCGGCCATGCTATTTCCCTGCCCTACCCTGCCTTGGCTGTGCCCTGGCTCAGTTCTGGCCCTGGGCCCGGCCCTGCCCTGGACATGTTCTGACACTGCCTCAGCCTTGGCACTAGCCTGGCTCTTTCTTGGCATCAGTCCTGCTCTCTCTGTGGACCGGCTCTTGTCCTGTCCTGCACTGGCCATACCATGCCCTGCCCTGCCCTGCCCTGACTCAGCCCTGGCTCAGCCCTGGCCCAGCCTTGGCCTTGGCATTGCCCCTGGTCCTGCCATATTTCTTGCCCTGTCCCTACCCTGGCCTTGGCCCTGACCCTTACCTTGCTCTGGCCCTGCCCTTGCCCTAACACAGCCCCTGGCCCTGTCATGGCCCTGCCCTGGACCTGTCCTGGCCCTGTCCTGGCCCTGGCCTGGCCCTGGCCCTTCCCTGCTTGAGACCTTGCCCTGGTTCTCCTCTGGCCCTGACCCTGAAATGCCTGGCCCTACCCTGGCCTTGCACTGCTCTGGCCCTTGCCCTGACTCTGGTCCTGTCACTGGCCTAGCCCCAGCCCTGTTGCTGGTCTTATCATGGCCCAGACCCTGCCTTGGCCCTGCCCTGACACTGTCCTGGACCCTGGCTGTGCCAAGATCCTGCACTGTCCTTGCCCTTGTTTTGCTCCTGCCCCAAACCTGGTCCTGCCCAGGCCCTGGCCCTGGCCCTCCCCTGGCTGTTCCCTGGCCCTGCCCAGGTCTTGGCACTGGCCTGGCCCTGCCCTGCCTTGGCCCTATGCTTTCCTGGCCCTTCCTTGACGGCCCTGGTCCTGCCTTGGCCCTAGCCTGGCTTTGACCCTGCCCTGGCCCTACCTTGGCCTTCATCCTAGCCTTACCTGGGCACTGTGTTGTACCTGGCCATAGCGCAGACCTGGTTGTGGCCCTGGCCCTGCCATGGCCCTGCCCCAGACCCTAGCCCTGCCAGGTACCTGTCCTGGCCCTGCTCTGGGCCTGGCTTTGTCCCTGGTTCTTAGATGACCCTGGCCCTGCCCCTGCCCTTGTCCTTGCCCTGGCACTGGCCTTGGACATGTCCGTGGTCCTAACCCTGGCCCTGTCCTGGAGCTGCCACTGTCGTGGCCCTGCCCCGGCCCTGGCCCTGCCCCGGCCCCAGCCATAGACCTGCCCTGGCCCTGCCCTCCCTTTGGCCCTGCCCTGACCCCGCCTTGGCCCTAGCACATACCTGGTCCTATCTGTGGCGTTGGCCTGGCATTGACCCCTGCTCCTGACCCTACTCCTGCATGGCCCTTGCCCTGCCAATGACCCTGACAGCCCTGGCCCTGGCCCTGTCTTGGCCCTGGCCCTGAACTGGCCCTGCCCTGACCCCGGCCCTGAATTGGATTTGCAGGTGTCTTGTCCCTGATTTAACCTGGCCCTACCATGGCCCTGTCCCTCTCCTGGCTCTGTCCTGGTCTCGTGCTGACCCTGACCCAGACCTTGGCCCTGCCCCAGCCTTGTCCTTGACCTGGCCATGGCCCTGCCTCTGCCCTGGACCAGCGCTGTCACTGGCATGGACCCTGGCCCTGGCCCTTTGCTACTTAAGGCCATACCCTGTCCCAGCCCTGGTCCTGACCCTGTCCTGGCCCTAATTTGGCCTGGCTCTACCCTGGCATGCTATTCTGGCCCTAGCCCTGACCCTGTCCCTGTCCTGGCCCTAGCCCCATTGCTGGTCCTGCCATGGCTCTTATCCTGACATTGCCCTTTCCTGGTCCTGGCCCTGGCCCTGTCCCAGCCCTGTTCTGGCCCTGGTCTGAACCCTGGCCCTGCAATGGACCCTCCTTGGTCCTACCCAGACCCTGGTTCTGGCCCTACCTCTGCCCTGGCTATACCTTTGCCCTGGCCTGGACCCCAGTACTGGTCCTTGTCCTGCCCCAGCCGTGGCCCCGGCCCCGCCCTGCCTGTGCCCTGTTCTATCCTGGGCTGGCCCTGCCATGGCCTGGTCTTGCCATTGGCCTGCCCTAGCCTGCCCTGCTTGTGCCCTAGATCTGCCCCGGCCTTTGCCCCTGTCTTGGTTCCAGCCTTGACTCAGCCCTGGACCTTCCCTGACCTTGCCTCAGCCCTGGCACTACCCTGGCCTTGGCTTGGCATTTGCCCTACTCTCTCTATGGCCTGGCTCTGGTCCTGCCCTGCTCTGCTCTTGTTCTGTCCTGGCACAGCCCTGGCCCTGCCGTATCACTGGCTCTGGTCCTGCCCTTATGCAGGCCTGCCCCTGCCCCTGCCTTGGCTTTGGCCTGGACCTTGGCCGTACAGTGACCCTGCCATGACCCTTTCCTGGCCCTGGCCTGGAACTTGGCCCTGCCAAGGACTCGCCCTGGCTCTGTCATGGCCCTGGCCCTTTCCTGGATTTGGATGTGTCCTGTCCCTTATTTGCCCCGGCCCTTCCCTGGCTCTGCCATACCCCTTCTCTGGGGTAGGGCCAGGGTCAGGACCAGGGTAGGGCCATGGTAAGGCCTGAAGATGGGAAGGGCCGGGGCAGCGGCAGGACCAGGGAAGGGTCAGGGCCAGTGATGTGGTAGGACTAGGGGCAGAGCCGGCACTAGGGCTGAGCCGGGGCAGAGCAGGAGAGATTACATTAGGCTATCACATAAAATTTTTATTTTAGATTTTTAAGATAACTATAGTAGTGGTAATAATGTCTATACTATGTTGTTTGTAATAGTAATAATATTTGCAGTAAATAATCACTAAATTTTAACTAATACTATCTTTGCTTCCAGTAGTGTTCTATGAGTACAATTTTATCAATATGTAAATATGTGAGGCATTGATTCTCACAATAATTCTAGGTGCTAGGTACTTAAAGCATCCCCATTTTCCAAATGTAGGAAACAGGCATAAAGAAGTTAAATACTTGGCCAGATTACTCCTGTAATCCCAGCACTTTGGGAGGCCAAGGCAGGCAAATGGCTTGAGCTCAGGAGTTTGGAACCAGCCTGGGCAACATTGTGAAACCCCATCTCTACTAAAAATGCACAAAAAGAGCTGATTTAAGTTTCTTATAGGATTCTGGTTATAAAACACTGGTCAAACACACAGGGCATGGATAGGGCAGGGCCAGGGACAAGGTCAGGTCAGGAAGGGGCCAGGGCCAAGGCAGGGCCAGAGCTGGACTTGGAGGTGTCCTGGTCTGATTTGCCCTGTCCCAACGTTGGCCCAGCCCTGCTCTGGCACTTCCTGTCATGCCCTGTCCCTGGTCTGAGCATTGGCCCTGGCCCTGTCCTGCTTCTGGCCCTGCCCCAGAGTTGACCAGGCACTGCCATGGCCCAGTCCTGCATTGCCCTGCCCTTTTCTGCCCTGGTGCTGCCATGGCCCTGCTTGGGCCCTAGCTCTGCCTCGACTCTGGACCTGCCCTGACTCTGCTCAGCCCTGGATCTACCCTGACTCTGCCTTGGTGTTGCCCTCCCATCTCTATGGCCTGGCTCTGGCCCTGCCTTGCACAGGCCATGCTCTGCCCTGCATGTCCCAGCCTGGGCCCAGCCCTTGCCCTACCATATTTCTGACCCCACCCGTACCCTTGTTCTGGCCTTGACCCTGCCGTGGCATTCTCCTGGCCCTTCCTTGGTCCTGCCCTGCCCTTCCATGCCCTGGCCTTTCCCTCACCCTGCACTGGTCCTGCCCTGCCCTGGCAGTGCCTTGGCCCTGGCCCTGCCTTCTCCCTGGCCTTGCCCTTTCCCTGCCCTGGCCTGACCCCAGGCCTACCGAGTCCATGAAATGACCCTGGACCTGCCTTGCCATCATCTGTCCTGGCCCTGTATTGTCCCCACCATGCTCTGGTCCAGCGCTTACCCTGGCCCTGTTGCTAGTCCTGCCACTGCTATGGCCCTGCCCTGTTTTTGGCCATGACCTGTGCTACCCTAGCCCTGCCCCGCCTTGGCCTTGGCCCTACCGTGGCCTTTTCCTACCCTGGCCTGGCCGTACACTGGCCATTTCTACCCTGGCCTTGCCCTTCCCTGGTCTTGCCCTGCCCTGGCCTTGCCCTGCCCTGGCCTTGGCTTTGCCTTATCCTGGTCCTGGTTCTGCCCTGGCCCTGCCCTTTCTCTGGATCCTCTCTGGTTCTGCCTTCTCCCTGGCCCTGCCCTTGCTCTGGCCCTGTTCCTGGCTCAGCCTTGACCCTGGCCCTGGCCCTGACAATCCCCAGGCCGCACACTGGCCATGCTTGGCCCTGGCCCCTCCTTTGGCCCTGCCCTGGCCCTGTGCTATCTTAGTACAGGGCCTTGGCCTTGGCCCTGTGCTATCTTAGTCCTGCCCTGGCCCTGAACTTGCCCTGGCCCTACCCTCACCCTACACTGGCCCTGCCCTGGCCCTGCCTTTGGACTGCCCTGGCTCTGGTTCTGCCATGGCCTTGCCCTTGCCCTGGACCCTCCCTGGCCATGTTTTTACTGTGGTCCTTCTCTGGCCTTGCCCTTGCCCTTTCCCCTTTCTGGTCCTGCCATGTTTCTGGCCCTGCCCTGTCCATGTCCTGGACCTGACTCTGGCCCTGGACCTCCCTGTCCCTGCCCTGCCATACCCTGGCCCGTTTCTTGCTCTACACTGACCCTGCCCTGCCTTGGCCCTGTGCTACCCTAGCCCTGCCCTGGCCTTCTGCTGGCCCTGATCCTGCCATGGCCCTGGCCCTGCCCCTGCCATGTCCCTGCCCTGGCCCTGGTTCTGCCCTACTTCTGGCCCTGGCCTTGGTCCTCTTATGTCCCTGGCTGTGACCCTGCCCCTGGTTTTTCTCTGGCCATGACCCTGCCCCGGTTCTGTCCTATCCCTGGCCCTGTCTCAGTTCTGTCCTAGCCCTGGCCTTTCACAGTACTTTATGCTTAGTAAGGGCTCCATAGTGTCTGTGAGTTGAATGTTGTGTTCATAGTATCTGCCAAAACAGAAAGAAAAAAAACAAAATCTGAAGATGAGAAGTTAAAGCTTTGTATATAATATGCCTTGAATTGTAAGTGCTTGTTATTAGTTGTATTACATGTAGGTCATGGTTTTGTACACATAACTCCAAACCATTGATACTGTTAAAAGAATATATGAATATATGAAAGAATATATAAACGTAAGAATGTATGAGTATCTAATGACCTCTCCAAACTAATTTTTATTTTTAGCTCTATTAGATTTTTTCTCAGTGTAACAAATGTTTATTCCTATGTAATTAAGGGCATATTTCCTGTACAGAATATTCATATTACTTAATTGAAAATTATATAATGCAAAAATATAATACTATTTTTAGGCCAGGCATGGTGGCTCATACCTGTAATCCCAACATTTTGAGAGGCCAAGTTTGGAGAATCATTTGAGTCCAGGAGTTGACCAGCCTGGGCAACATATTGAGACCTTTTCTTTATTAAATAAATAAATAAGTAAATAAATAGGATGGGCACTGTGGCTCATATCTGTGATCCCAGCATTTTGGGTTGCGAAGGCAGGAGGATTGCTTGAGCCCAGGAGTTTGAGACCAGCCTGGGCAGCATAGCAAGACTCCATCTCTACAAATAATAAAATATTAACCAGGTGTGGTGGTGCGCACCTGGGGTCCCAGCTACCTGGGAGGCTAAGGTGGGAGGTTTGCTTGAGGCTGCAGTGAACTGTGAATGCACCACTGCATTCCAGCCTAGGCCACAGAACAGGACCTTGTCTACCAATAAATAAGTAAAAATATAAATAAAAATAAGTAAAAAGAAATATAAGTAAATATAAATATAAATACATATAAATATAAAAATGAATACATGAAAACAATTTTTAAATTTAACATCACTGAGGGCATCCTATCCATTTCATTTCATGATTCCATTACATCATTTCACTTAGATGAAGTGATAAGGTTACTTGAGATGAGATGAAATGATGAGATGAAATGATGAAATGATGAGATGAAATGATGAGATGAAATTTTGAGATGAAATGATGAGTAGAAATGATGAGATGAAATGATGAGATAAAATGACAAAATTGAAAAGAAATTGAAAGGAGATGAGATGACATGAAATGAGATGATGGATGAAATGATGAGATGAAACGAGATGAAATGATGAGAAGAAATGAAATGAAATAATGAAATGAAATGATATGAAATAATGAAATTGAGATGAGATGAGATGATATAATGAGATAAAATGATGAGATGAAATGAGATGAACGATAAGATGAAATGATGAAATAAGATGAGATGATAAGACGAAATGATGAGATGAAATGAGATGAAAAATGAGATGAAATAATGAAATGAGATGAAATCAAATAATGAAAGGAAATTATGAAATGTAATGATGAAATAATGAAATGGCAATGATGAGATGAGAAGAAATGATGAGATGAAATGATGAAATGATGAGATGAGATGAAATGAGATTAAATGATGAGATTAAATGATGAGATGTGATGAAATGAGATGAAATGATGACATGAAATCAGATGAAATAATGAGATGAAATGATGAGATGAAATGATGAGATGAAATGAGATGAGATGAAATGTGATGAGATGAAATGACATAATGAAATGAAATAATGAAATGAAATGATGAAATGGAATAATGAAATGGAAATGATGAGATGAGATGCAATGAGTTGAAATGATGAGATGAAATGAGATGAAATGATGAGATGAAAAGATGAGGAGACGAGATGTGATGAAATGATGACATGAAATGACATAAAATGAGATGAAATAAGATGTAATGAATGAAATGAGATGAAATGATGAGATGAGATGAAATGGTGAGATAAAGTGATGATATGAAATGATGATATGAAATGATCAGATGAATGATAAGAGGAGATGATGAGATGAAATGATGAGATGAAATGAAATGAAATGAAATAATGAGATGAATGATATGAAATAATGAAATAAAATGAAATTGAAATAAAATTGAAATGAGATGAGATGAAATAAGATGAAATGATGAAATAAAATGATGAAATGATGAGATGTGATGAGATGAAATGATGAGATGACATGACATGAAATAATGAAATGAAATAATGAAATGAAATTGAGATGAGAAGATATGAGATGAGATGAAATGATGAGATGAAATGATGAAATGATAAGATGAAATGAGTTGATGAGATGATGAGATGAAATGATGAGATGAAATTAGATGAAATGAAATTAGATGAAATGTAATGAGATGAAATGAAATGACATAATGAAATGAAAAAATGAAATGAAATAATGAAATGAGGTGAAATTAAATGAGATGATGAAATTAAGTGATGAAATAATGAAATGGAAATGAAATGGAAATGATGAGATGAGACGAAATGATGAGATGAATGATGAGATGCAATGATGAGATGAAATGATGAGGTGAGATGTAATGATGAGATGTAATGAAATGAGATGAAATGAATGAGATGAAATGAAATAATGAAAGGAAATTGAATTGAGATGAGATGAGATGAAATGATGAGATAAAATGAGATGAAATAAGAAATGATGAGATGAGATGAAATGATGAGATGAAATGAGATTAAATGATGAGATGAGATGTGATGAAAGATGAAATGATGACATGATATGATGACATGAAATCAGATGAAATAATGAGATGAAAGATGAAATGATGAGATGAGATGAAATGTGATGAGATGAAATGACATAATGAAATGAAATAATGAAATGAAATGATGAAATGGAATGATGAAATGGAAATCATGAGATGAGATGCAATGAGTTGAAATGAGATGAAATGATGAGATGAAAAGATGAGATGAGACGAGATGTGATGAAATGATGACATGAAATGACATAAAATGAGATGAAATAAGATGTAATGATGAAATGAGATGAAATGATGAGATGAGATGAAATGAAATGGTGAGATAAAATAATGAGATGAAATGATGAGGTGAATGAGATGAAATGAGATAAGAGGAGACGATGAGATGAAATGATGAGATGAAATGATGAGATGAAATGAAATGAAATAATGAAATAATGAGATGAAATGATATGAAATAATGAAATAAAATGAAATTGAAATAAAATTGAAATGAGATGAGATGAAATAATAAGATGAAATGAAATAAAATGATGAAATGATGAGATGTGATGAGATGAAATGATGAGATGACATGACATGAAATAATGAAATGAAATAATGAAATGAAATTGAAATGAGATGAGAAGATATAAGATGAGATGAAATGATGAAATGATAAGATGAAATGAGTTGATGAGATGATGAGATGAAATGATGAGATGAAAAGAGATGAAATGAGATGAAATTAGATGAAATGAAATTAGATGAAATGTAATGAGATGAAATGAAATGACATAATGAAATGAAATAATGAAATGAGGTGAAATTAAATGAGATGATGAAATTAAATGATGAAATGAAATAATGAAATGGAAATGGAAATGATGAGATGAGATGAAATGATGAGATGAATGATGAGATGCAATGATGAGATGAAATGATGAGATGAGATGAGATGTAATGATGAGATGTAATGAAATGAGATGAAATGAATGAGATGAAATGAAATAATGAAGGAAATTGAAATGAGATGAAATGAGATAAAATGAGATGAAATAAGAAATGATGAGATGAAATGATGAAATGCTGAGGTGAGATGAGGTGAAAGGAGATGAAATGAAAGGATGAGATGAAATGATGAGATGAGATGAAATGAGATGAGGTGAGATGAGATGAAATGAGATGAAATGATGAAATGCTGAGGTGAGATGAGGTGAAAGGAGATGAAATGAAAGGATGAGATGAAATGATGAGATGAGATGAAATGAGATGAGGTGAGATGAGATGAAATGAGATGAAATGATGAAATGATGAGATGAAATGAGGTAAGATGAGATGAAATGATGAGATGAGATGAAATGAAATAAAGTGAAATGAAATGAAATAATGAAATTGAGATGAGACGAAATGAGTTAAACTGATGAGATGAAATGATGAGAAGAAATGAGATGAAATGATGAAATGATGAGATATGATGAGATGAAATGATGAGATAAAAATGATGAGATGAAATGAGATGAATTGAAATGAGATGAAATGAAATAATGAAATAATGAAATGAGATGAAATGAGGAAATGATATTGAAATGAAATTGAAAGATGAGATGAGATGAAATGATGAAATGAAGAGATGTGGTGAGATGAAATGATGAGCTGAAATGATGAGACGAAATGAAATGAGATTA
The DNA here is from genome assembly GCF_000001405.40 of Homo sapiens. Taxonomy (NCBI): domain Eukaryota; kingdom Metazoa; phylum Chordata; class Mammalia; order Primates; family Hominidae; genus Homo; species Homo sapiens. The sequence goes on from NT_187383.1 coordinate 185,772, forward strand.
AATGAGATGAAAAATGATGAGATGAAATGATGAGATGAAATGAGATGAGATGAATTGAGATGAGATGAGATGAAATAATGAGATTAGGTGAAATAATGAAATGAGATGAAATGAAATAATGAAATTGAAATGAGATGAGAAGAAATGATGAGATGAAATGTTGAAAGGAGGAAATGATGAGATGAGATGAAATGATGAGATGAAATGAATTGAGATGAAATGATGAGATGAAAAATGATATGAAAAATGATGAGATGAAATGAGATGATATGAAGTGACATAATGAAATTAGATGAAATTAAATGAAATAGTGAAATGAAATAATGAAAATGAAATGGAAATGAGATGAGATTTGATGAAATGATGAGATGATATGATGAGATAAAATGAGATGAAATGATGAGATGAAATGATGAAATGAGATGAAATGATGAGATGAAATGATGAGGTGAAGTGATGCACTGTCACGTGTGTGTCTATTCTTTTTCCCAACCAACAAAAATTACAATTCATTTTAATTTTATTATTTAAGAATATTCTTAAGAGTTGAAGGAAAAATAATATCTACATTATGGGTTACAATCTAAGTATAAATAATACATAAATATATTAAAACTTACAAAGAATATGTTTTGGAATCAAATATACCATGCTTCTGTGATGACAGTTATTTCATGCTGGTTGTCACAATTTTACATGAAAAACTAATGAAAAAGTGTTTTTAACTGTTTCTAAAAATAAGTTTCCAAAAGAGTTTTACATTCGAAATATGAAAAAGATGTCTTTGCGTTCCTTAATCTGATGAGATTTTCACACTCTGCACATGATAATTGTTAGATTTTTATTGTGTTGATAAATTGTATATCAAATAAAAAATGTTATTACCTCTTAAATTAGGATTTTTAGGTGATATAGGCAGAAAGGAAGGCAAGTTTTTATAACTTTGTCTAAATGAACTTTCTAAATGCCTGAGTATTAAAAGATAACGTCTATAAATCACAATGTATATATTACTGTATGACCTAGGACCAATCAAAACCGTTACCTCTGATAACATTATATTGTGCCCAATATAAAATAGATATAATAATACCTCAAACATAAATCCAGGCATTGTCATTGAATATCTTAAGAATATGCAGCAAAGGTGCTTTTAAAAATACAAGCTAGTGATTGTACTAAATTTGTAAATTACATAGGATAGTGGGTCATTTTAAGAATATTAGTTATTTCAATCTATAAACGTGGATGTCTTTTTTGTGTTTTCTTTAATTTCTTTCATTAATATTCGTCATTTTTGTTGTAGAAATCTTTTACTTCCTTGGTTAAATTTATTTCTAAGTACATTTTTGTAGCTATTGTAAAAGGAATTGCTTTCTTAATTTCTTGTTTCAGCTAGTTTACTATCAATATATAGAAATGCTACTGATTTTTGTATGTTGATTTATATCCTGCAACTTTATTAATTTCATGTATCACCCTAAGAAGCTTTTGGTAGCATCTTATTTTTTTCCGTGTATAAGATCACATTGTCTTTAAACAAGGACAATTTGACTGTCTCCTTTCCAATTCAGATATCCTGTATTTCTTTCTCTCACCTAATTGTCCTGGCTAAGACTTTCACTATGTGAAATATGATTGGTGAAAATAGGCATCCTTTTCTTGTTACAGTAAAATCTTTTTCTTGTTCACAGTAAAATCTTTCACCTTTTCCACACTCAGTATGATCTTAGCTGTAGATTTGTCCTTTATGTCCTTCTGTGTTAAGGCATATATTTTCTATACTAAATTGTTAAGAGGTTTTTTGTCATGTAAGAATATTTAATTTTGCCAAATGCTTTTATTGTGTTTATTAATTTGATCATATGGTTTTCAGTATATATCCAAAGGAAAGAAAATCAGTATATCAAAGAGTTACCTGCACCTGCATGTTTATTACAACACTATTCACAATAGCCAAGATATGGAATCAACAAAAGTGTCCATCAACAGATGAATGGATAAAGAAATGTGACATACATATATAATGGAATATTATTTAGTCATAATAAAGAACAAAATCCTGTTATTTGTGGCAACAAGAATGCAAGTGGAGGGCACTATGTTAGGTGAAATAAGCCTGGCATAGAAACATAAACACCACATAACTACGTGTTCTCACTTATGTATGGAAGCTAAAATTTTTAATCTCGTAGAAGTAGATAGTAGAGTTTTGGTTACCATATCCTGGAAAGAGTAGGAGAAAGAAGAGTATAAGAAAAATGTGGTTAATACATACAAAATTACAGGTGGAGAGAAGGAAGAAGTTCTAGTTCTCTACAGCACTGTTGGGTGACTGTAGTTAACGGGAATTTATTGTGTGTTTTCAAATAACTAAAATAAAAGATTTTGAATATTCTCACTGAAAAGAAATAATACATGATTTAGGTAATGGATGTGATAATGACTGTGACTTGATCTTTATGCATTGCATAAATATATCAAAATATCACTCTGTACCCCATAACATGTACATTTATTATATGTCAAAGTAAATTTAAAAGAGAAAAAATGAGGTAAAGGTAAATGTACAGAATTTAATTACTTTTTCTTCTATAAAACCCAAGAGTCAGTACCAAGAAGAGTCAATTTATTAGTTTTCTAAAATAAAAAAAATCAAAGTCGCCAAAAAAGAGCAATATCCAAGAAAACATTGAAAATGAAACACAACGTTTAGTAAGAATAGAAAACTTGGGCACTGTATCACCCTGTTCCTAGATACCGATTTACTGATAGCAATTTAAATAGAATTTTATTCTATCTAATTCGTTTATACTCCCAGAGTTCGAAATTACATTTTACCTACAATAAATGAGATAACACTTGCAAATTATATGGTACTCTGCCTAACACACGTTAATAACTCAATACATGTTAGCAATAAACTTTTAGTATAGTAGTCAAAGTATTAATTTCTCACATTGCAAAGTTGCTTCAAAGACATGAATACAACCTTTCTAATGACTCCTCGTTCATCAAGATACCTCTTCAAATTATTCTATTTCTTTCATTCAGTGTATTATCTGTGTATACCGATATGATATTACACTCTTTTTTTTTTTTTTTTTGAGATGGAATCTCATTCTGTTACTGATGCTGGAGTGAGGTGGCATGATCTGCAACCTCCACCTCCCAGGTTCAAGCGATTCTCCTGTCTCAGCCCCCCAAGTAGCTAGGACTACAGGTGCACACCACCATGCCTGGCTAATTTTTGTATTTTTAGTACAGTCAGAGTTTCACCCTGTTGTCCAGGCTGGTCTCGAACTCCTGACCTCAGGTGATCCACCCACCATGGTCTCCCAAAGTGCTGGGATTACAGGCATAAGCCACCGCACCCAGCCTGATATTGCACTCTTGGATTTTGAACACTGAATATCTTTTTGAGAGATTACACCTCTTTACCTCTTTGTGCTTCAGAAATTATCTTCCTTCAAGTGTTCTAAGAGTCTAATGAAGAATGAAGTCATGTTTTATCACTTTTGTCCTTAAAGATTTCAGACATGCTGAAACTGATTGAAGTATCATTTGCTACCAGATAGATTAATTATCTCTAGTTGTAGGAGTGGATACATCTTTAATGGTATATTTTGGGTTATTGTCTTATTTTTGATGCAGTGTTCTATAAATAATTTATTAAACCTGGCATCCTTGGGTGAGCCTGGATTTTTCAACTTTGGTGTTATATTGTGTTTGCTTTTAAAAACTGCTTTTGAGGCCGGGTATGGTGGCTCTTGCCCATACCCAGCACTTTGGGAGGCCAAGGTGGGCGGATTACCTCAGGTCAGGAGTTCAAGACCAGCCTGGTCAACATGGCAAAACCATGTCTCTACTGAAAACACAAAATTAGCCAGGCATGGTGGTACATGCTTGTAGTCCTAACCACTCAGGAGGCTGAGGCAAGACAATCACCTGAACCTGGGAGGCAAAGGTTGCTAGGTTGCTGTGAGCCAAGTTCGCACCATTGCACTCCAGCCTGGGTGAAAAGAGCAAAACTCTGTCTCAAAAAAAAAAAAAAAAAAAAACCACCAAAAACTGCTTTTGAATGGAGTTGTACATACAATCTTTATGAAAAAAAATATCAAGTGCATAAGTTCATAATAGAAAAGCCAATAATACTCCAGGCACAAGTTAGTACTAAAAAAGTTATGTTGAATATTCTCTAATACAACATGCTTTTTCCCTTCATGAACGACTTGTGTTTTACTGAGAAGAGTCATTGTTTATGGTAGACATTAGACTACAGATGAATATGTACTTTAAACACTCTTAGTTGCTTTCGTAATTTTATATCTGCTGCTTTATGCTTCTGTTTATTTTCATTCTTTCCAATGTCCACATTCTAGTAAATTTGAATATTTTAATCCAAGTTTATATACTATTTAATATTGCTTGTATAGTTTAGTATTTTTAAGACTCAAAAAGGTTTACAGAAAGAAGAAAAAGATCAACATGTTATTAATCATTTAAAGATCATTTTAAAATCTTTGACCTTTATATTTTAATGAATAAAATGTTGGTAGTTATTAGTATAAAATAATTTATGTCTTTTGGACTTAGCATCCAGTATTTCTTTTTTAATAAAGAAAATAATTATTCTCTTGCAATATACTACGTTTATCTGGGTTTTGAAAAATGATGTTTCCTAATATGAGAAAGCCATTTACATTTTTAAATCTACAAAGGCAAATGGAATGGTACTAAATTATTTACATAATAATGTTTAGGTGGTGGCCCTTATAACATTCTTTCTATACTTCCTACAGAGTTGGGGATATGCAATCCTAGAATATTTCTGGGAGCTAATCCTTTAGCTTGATGAATGAAACAAGACTTTTAAATAAAATTAAACTTTCAAATTATCCAGGTAATGGGCCTGTCTTTTTTTTTTTTTTTTTTTTTTGAGACGGAGTCTCGCTCTGTCGCCCAGGCTGGAGTGCAGTGGCGGGATCTCGGCTCACTGCAAGCTCCGCCTCCCGGGTTCACGCCATTCTCCTGCCTCAGCCTCCCAAGTAGCTGGGACTACAGGCGCCCGCCACTACGCCCGGCTAATTTTTTCTATTTTTAGTAGAGACGGGGTTTCACCGTTTTAGCCGGGATGGTCTCGATCTCCTGACCTCGTGATCCGCCCGCCTCGGCCTCCCAAAGTGCTGGGATTACAGGCGTGAGCCACCGCGCCCGGCCGGGCCTGTCTTTTAATTCAATGGATATGGAGCATAATGAATTATCCCCTGTTCATTGGGTAATAAGTTCTCATTCTTAACTTCTAATACTCAAAATGTCCTTTAATTTTTAATTTTCGATAGTCATATCATTATCCCTAGGTATTTTAGCTTCTATCTTAAATTCTAAAATAATTTTGAAACAGGAGAAAGTATTCTTTATTACTATATGTATTAAACATCATGGTTTTCAAATTTAACTGCAAATGTATCTTTTCATTGCTTCTTGGTGACGCCCTTCACCCTATCCATATTGTCACTACCAAGTGGTGATTACTTTTCAGGTTCACATACTTGTTCTTTAGAAAAATCTTCCCTGTGCCTTATAAAGAATATGATTGTTGGCATTCAAAAGCCAGCGAAGTATACATTATTAGCCTGTTGCCTAACTCATTTCTTTAAGAAACTACACTAATTACCCACATACTTATGTTTTTATTTCCTCATTATTTCTGGAGAAAACAAATACTGCTAACATGATATTTGTAAGAGAGAAAAAAGTCTTTTCTTGAAAAGTGCTGTCATTGTAGTACTAACTTATAGTATCAACTTCTTTATCAACTCCTTATACACTTTTTATTCTGAGAGAAATAAAAAAGCTAAAAGTGAAATGACTTTTTTTACTCTCCATATTATAAGCACCCATCTTGGTAATTTAGGGTCTTTATAGTTAGGGTAAGTTGTGTCATATCGAGGTTACAAAATAATAAGTATTTTGTCTCTTTGGGCCTTTCCTTATTCAGTAATACTGTCAGTTTGGCTTTTTTTCTAGGTCAACTTATTGATCTCAGTATTCTGAAATAATATGTTTACTACCTTTTGATAAGCATTTAAAATATTAGATTTATTGTTACTCTTCTGCCTTCATTGGGCTGGAAGAATAATTGTTTCTCTCACTCCACAAAAGCCAAGTTGCAGAGAAAAACACATAGACATTCAACTGCAAAGCAGAGAAACTTGACTATTTCCTGCAATTTTAAAGTGTATATTGAATAAAACCATCTTTTTATTTTCTTTTTTGCTCACTGGCAAATATTAACAACATCAAGTGTGTTATTATAATGTTATCTAGTTAAAAATCTCAAAAAGTTTTCATAATTACCATTTAAAAATATATAAATAGGTGACCTAATGTTAATTTTTATTGTCTGAGACCATGTCTGTTATTTCACTCTTTAAATTCAGTTAGTCATGCAGAACCTAGCACTTAGTGGATACTCAAAAATTATTTGCTGGATAAAAAAAAGGTTAAACATGTAATATATACAAAATGTACTAGAAAAAATGCACCAAACAATTTTGTTATAGCAGTTTAATGTAGAATATTGCCTTTAAAAGATAATATAGTTTTCAGGTGTCTACGGTGATTTTGTAATATTTGTGCACATATAAAATAATATTTCCAAAAATGTAATCCAGTGAGGAAATATACTTTCTAAATTCTAGATTTATAATTTAGGGTTTAAATTATAAAATCATTAAGACACAAGTGAAATATAGTCAAATATCCCCTTGGAAAAAAATTAAGTGGCCTCTAAAGTGAGGTATTCATATATGTAATTTTACAATCCTCTAGTGATAGAATTAATTAAATACACCACCAAATTGATTAATTCCTACAGTGTTAAAAGAGAAGCACTAATAATGCCAGTGACCATGTAACATGGATTAAGCTACAAGTCATAGAAATGTGATGAGAAGCCTCAGCGCTGTAAAACAGAGGGTGGAGGAAAGCTTTTCCTCTCTCAAATGAGATTTGCCAAGTATACTTCTTGAAGAATAGGAAGTTGAAGTGTTCAGGACTTTTATGACTATTCTACTTTGGCTTAGTTTACATGATTCTTAGTTTATTAGCCTAGAAATGGCCAAGAAAACTTAAGGCTCAATAATTAGTTATAAATATGAAATATCCCCAATTTTTAAGATAAAAACAACTTATAAATGTATTTGTCTGTAAAAATTGTGTATATTTTTACAGAACATCTATTTCTTTCTTTTTTTATTTTTTTATTATACTTTAAATTCTAGGGTACACATGCACAATGTGCAGGTTTGTTGCATATGAATACATGTGCCATGTTGGTGTGCTGCACCCATTAACTCATCATTTATATTAGGCATATCTCCTAATGCTATCCCTCCCCCCTCCCCCCACCCCACAACAGGCCCTGGTGTGTGATGTTCCCCTTCCTGTGTCCAAGTGTTCTCATTGTTCAATTCCCATCTATGAGTGAGAACATGCGGTGTTTGGTTTTTTGTCCTTGTGATAGTTTGCTAAGAATGATGGTTTCCAGCTTCATCCATGTCCCTGCAAAGGATATGAACTCATCATTTTTTATGGCTGCATAGTATTCCATGGTGTATATGTGCCACATTTTCTTAATCCAGTCTATCGTTTTTGGACATTTGGGTTTGTTCCAAGTCTTTGCTATTGTGAGTAGTGCCACAATAAACATACGTGTGCATGTGTCTTTATAGCAGCATGATTTATAATCCTTTGGGTATATACCCAGTAGTGGGATGGCTGGGTCAAATGGTATTTCTAGTTCTAGATCCCTGAGGAATGGCCACACTGTCTTCCACAATGGTTGAACTAGTTTACAGTCCCACCAACAGTGTAAAAGTGTTCCTATTTCTCCACATCCTCGGCAGCACCTGTTGTTTCCTGACTTTTTAATGATCGCCATTCTAACTGGTGTGAGATGGTATCTCATTGTGGTTTTGATTTGCATTTCTCTGATGGGTCTATTTATTTAAAACAAAGGGAGGGAAGTCTCATTTACATTCGTTTTTTTCATAGCCTTTTGAACTTTGCAATTTCTATGTTTCAGAACCTATTTCTTACAGTTTTTCTATGCTAAACTCTGTCCTGGTCAGTTCTAGAGTGTATGAAGAACCAAATGATGTAACTGTATGTGACCTGGCTGTAGTGGAACAAATTTGACTCTTAAGTATGCAGGCTCTAATTTTCCTGTCTGGTTTTGGTAAGTATTCCTTACACAGGTTTTTTTCTTTGAAAATCTGGGATTGAGAGGTTGATGAATGAAAATTAATCCTTTCACTTTGTTGTGTATAGGTTTGCAATAATTAGGTCAGAGTGGAGTTTTAAGGTCATGGAGGGGGCTGATGACTTACAAATAATGGGCTCTGATTGGGCAACTACTCATCTGAGTTCCTTCCACTTGACCTAATTAAGCTTGTGAAATTTACACTAAGCCATGAGTTCATCTTTAAAAAGTTTTATTAAAAGATTTTCAGCTGTTCCAAATAGGACTTATTGGTGGAATGTGTTTTAAAGGATCATATCAGATGAATGAAAGGTATTTGATCCTTTGTTTCCTTAATAATAAAATGATGGTTTGGAAAAATAGGCTAGAGTCTAACCACAGTGCTATTATTAAGGCTTTCTTGTTAAACATAGGTCTAAGCCTAAGTATGTCAATACAACAAATACTTAGTGTTTCATTTCTAGTAATAAAAAAATAAAGTCTTTCTGGCATAAGGATGATTTTCATCTGGTTATTTTGAAACATTTTTGTAAAATAAATTTCCATCTATAAAGAACATTTTTAATTTGTAAGGAGGGGTATGTCTCTGTGCACTGGAAGAGAGGGAGGACTAAATCACTGGGAAGTCTTATGATAAAGAAGCCATTGGCTTAAATCAGCAAAGCAAGCCATCCTTTGGTTTAAGGTGTTTTTCCTGGCCATCCTGTCTTGACTAGAACTTTACCTACACCTTCCTTTTTGGTTTAGGCAAATTATCATATCTCAACCTGAAGTCTCAGCTCTGTGTCTTTGAGATATAAATGTTCTACCACGTCTTCTCTGGAACCTGATAACTATCTATCTCTTTAAAATGCAAGTCTAGGGAGATGACTCATCAGAAAAAGAAGAAAAAAGAGGTATTTGGAAATTGTGCAAATTAAAGCAGCCCCTGATGCCAAAGTCTACACATTCCTGAGTGAGTCAGTTCTGGCCAGTTCTAGCTGGATCAAGAGAGCTCTGCTGGGCAAGCCTGAAGAGCACCTGGATGGCAGACACCTGAGGAGCCAGGTGCCTGAAACTTCCTCCACCTGGTTGAGGAGCGCTAAAGCCCAGGTGCTGGCTGGACAACCCCTTCTGGTTGCCTAAGCAGGTGGCAGAAGAAGGAAACAAGGTCAGAGGCAGAGTGTTGAACCCTGCCTCCCAGGTGGGTGGAAGATGCCTGTCGCCAAACTAGGGCCCAGCTTGCCGGGTGAGATGGGTGAACTGGTGATCCCCCGAGAGAGTGGACGTCAGAACTACATGGTCCTGGACCTCACCTCGGCCAGCGAAGGAGAGAGAGGGTTAATGTTAACTGCACGAGGCCCACTCTAGCCTTAAATTCTGAAATTCAAACCCTTCCCTTGGAGACAAAACAAACATGACAAGGAATTCTGACATCAGGGGACAAGAATCACAAGTTCCCTAGTGGGAGACTGAGGAGGCAGTGTCCTTCCTGCCCTTGGTCTACTGGCTAAGAACCTTCCTCAGCCTGACCTTTCCACATTGCACTTCCAGCTCTGTTTGCAATTTTCCTCCTTTAGTGCTGAGGGAATCCCAGTGTTCGATCCTGAAATCTATAGGTTCCTAATGGGTGGTTAAAAAAAACCTCAGCGAGAGAAGCAGAAAATGTTTCCTCTTCCTGAAAAACTGTAGAAAGGCAGGCACCATTCTGGGTGAGGACATGGTCCTTGCAAATGTCTTTGTGTTTTGTTTTGTTTTTTTATTTTGAGATGAAGTTTTGCTCTTGTTGCCCAGACTGGAGTGCAGTGGTGTGACCTCTGCTCATTGCAACCTCCGCCTCCTGGGTTCAAGCAATTCTCCTACCTCAGCCTCCTGAGTAGCTGGAATTACAGGCACCTGACACCACACCTGGCTAATTTTTTGTATTTTTAGTAGAGATGGGGTTTTGCCATGTTGGCCATGTTGGTCTCTTAACTCCTGACCTCAAGTGAGCCACCCGCTTCTGCCTCCCAAAGTGCTGGGATTACAGGAGTGAGCCACCGTGTCCCACTGTGAGTGAGTGAGCCACGGCAAAAGTCTTTAAAGACAGCATGTTTCAGAGGCTGTGACGGTGCCCTGTGAACACGCCAAATCTCGCAGTCCCGGGAGCTCTGAGGAGCAGGCCCAGCTCCTTGCCAGGCTGATGGTACTGAAACTCTGCTCTCCAAGACATAACCTGATGGCCGTGCAAGATTTCTTAATTGACTGTGGACCGTGAGAGTCTGCATCTCATTTTAATTAAGACAGGAAAAGAAAGAACAAAAGAGCAACTCCCAGGTTATAGAGAGACTGGATTTTAGTATAATATTCAAGTGTAGCATTGCTAATAATAACAAACCTTTCCCCTCCCAAACGGTAAACACTTGCACTGCCTATTATACAAAAATTCAGCCATCCTCTCTGTTCCCCCGATATCTCCTCCCCAGTGACCCCCCTCATGCGGCCTCATGAGCCTGGCCAGTGGTGAATGGCGCTTTCATGGGCATGAGACTCCACGTGAGTGGGACTCAGCTGGGACCCCTCTCCACGTGGGAGCTGGAGAAGCCACCCTAGTACCAGCTTAAAGTGTCCGTGATGTCCCTGCTGCTGAGGTAGGGGCCGCCTCTGAGCTGGTCTCGGGGTGTGAGCTGCTGCTGGTAGTGGGCTCTGCCCTGAGGGCCTGGTGGCTGGTCGGAAGGGCAGGCACACATGGGTGACTCCCCAGGATCTCAGGCCACCTCCCCACCACAGTCCTGCACTGTGTGTTCCAGGCATGTGCTGAGTGCCTGGTCAATCACCAGTGCCCTATTGATCCCCGTCTCCAGAGAGATCATTTAGCGTCACTCCACAGAGGGGGAAACTGAGGCCCAGAGAAGTAAGGTGACTCTCCCCAGTCACAGGTCTGGTCAGGAGTAGGATGGGAGGCTAGTCCCTTGCTGTCTGACTCCCTGAGCCCACCCATATCCCAAGGCAGCCAACCTCTGCCCGCCCTGGCTCAGGCCCCGACTGGCCCCTGTGGTGGGTGATGTCTATCTTCCTGGCCTTTGTGCTCCCAGCCAACTGGGATGGAGCCTCCAGCTGGCATGATAGGTTGTAGCTACGGACAGAAGAGTGGCTGTGAGGCTGCCAGGAATCTCACCAGGGCCCCCTCCCAGGGCCTGTCCAGAGTGAGGTCTGGGTACCCCAGGCATTGCCAGACCACAGGATCTGATGTTGGCCAAGAGGCTATGGCCACAGGCTTTCTGAGGCTGGCCCCCAGGGAGAGTTCAATCCTACTGTCCCAATTCCTGCCCTGGCCTTACCTCTCAGTCTCACCGAGTCGCTTCATGGTCCCAAACCAGGACCCAAAGTGCTGCTTGGGCTTAAGGTTGTAATTATTTGCAGCCAACTGGAGCAGCGGACCTCCTTGCTTACTTTGAATTCCTGGGTCCAGAGGGAAAAACTGGGTGGTGACAGGGACTGGACAGGGATGCCACAGGGGCCCTGTGGGGGTGTTAGGTGGGGTGGTGGCCAGTCTTTGCTCATAGGGGACCCCCTCCTCCTCTCCAGTCCTGTCCCCACCTGTTCTCAGAGCTGGCTCAAGCAGCAGCTCCTCCAGGAAGGTGTCCTTGGTTTCAACCTGGTACTCCCACCTGCAGGTCTTCCTGGAGTGTCTCCTCTTTGTCTGTCTCCCCATAAATCTAAGACGAGGGGGATGGATTTGCCCACGGCTACTCACCGTATGACTCTTGTGCGGTTGATCTGTCTCCCATGCAAGGCCAACAGCTGAAGTCCATCAGAAAGGGTCCTCTGGCCCAGAGCCAGCCCCTGCCCACCCCTGTCATGCTGCACCCAGGGTGCAAGACCCAGATCAGGTCTGGGTGACAGGAGGGGTATAGAGGGGCTGAGGCTCAGGGGCCTTCTAGCCTAACTTGTCTGGAGACAGTTGGGGAAACTGAGACCCCAAGCAGGGAGGTATGGCTCCGAGAGATTATTCTCATTAACCTGGAACACTTTTGCAAGCTGTTAGGTGTAGGAAGTCTGTCACAGGTAAGAGGAATGCTTTTTGAGAGCATGAGAGACAGCAGGGTTGTGACAATATTGAAACACCACTGTGCAGATTCACCAATTGCCACCACCAGGAGCCCCCTGAGAGTCATTGCAGATGCACAGCCCTCCCCTGCAACCCCTGGACCTCCCCATGGTCTGGCACCTAAAGAGTTATGACTCATGGCAGGAATCAGGGCCCTCAGGATGCCCTGCCCACTCCAAGGTTTGCCTCTGCTCTGATTGGTCACTGCCATTCAGATTGTCACCCAAATATAAGGACGTTAGCAGAAAGACTCATTCAATACAAGTGGACTCAGACATAGATAGGATTTGGGTTGCAAAAAGCCCCTTTTGTTCTTTTATTTTATTTTGGAAAAAACTGTTATTGTGAAAATTCACACATATATATAGAAAAAAACTCAATCAATGCAAAAGGATAGACAATGAACAAATGAATTCCCCTTCCACTCCAGATCCGCACCTCAGATCCAGACCTCCTGAGCCCACTTCCCCCATCTCATCACAGATCCAGACCTCCTGAGCCCACTTTCCCCATCTCATCACAGATCCAGACCTCCTGAGCCCACTTTCCCCATCTCATCACCAGTGATTTCTTGGGCTCTGCATTAGTTTTCTATTGCTGCTGCAACAAACAGCTACAGACTCAGTGGCTTCCATTTCTGTCTTATAGTTCTGGTTGCCAAAATTCCTAAGAGGATCTCACTGGGCTAAAATCAAGGTGCCAGCGGGGCTATGTCCCTTCTGGAGGCTTAAGGGATGAATCGGCTCCCTGCCTTTTCTAGCTTCTAGGGGCTCCAGCTTCTAGGTTTGTGGCCTTCTTTCTCTATCCTCAAAGCCAGCAACAGCAGGTGAAGTCCTCGCCCATCGTGCATCACTCTCCCTTCTGCCTCCTTCAACTTTTTTTTTTTTTTTTGTATTTAGGGGGAACGAGTACAGGATTCTTACATAGTCAAAAAGCTCCTTATAGAGAAGCTCGGAACTTTGAATACAGCTTTGCCTTTTTTGCCATTTTAATTTTCCATTTAATTTAAATGTATTCTCTCATTTGACCTTCATACTCTGTGGAGAAATATTTCTATTTCGGCTTGTATTGACAAGCTGTTTTCACACAGCCCCCGCATCACCCAACCAACCAGCAGAGATCCTCATTCCCATGAAACAGATAAAGAAACTGAGGCCCAGGGAGGCTAAGTCCTGCCAGGATCATTCACCTTCCAAGGTAAGGAGCCATTTCCAGACCTGGGTTTGTGCAGCTCCAAGCTCCCCCGTCTTTCTACAATGCTAGATTTAGACTATAGCAATCTAGCAAGTGTGGCCACACAATGGTCAAGTTGGATTTAGATGATGTTCTCTATAAATCCATTCTCCTCTCCCGTGTAAGCAAGGCAAAGTACTCTAGGCCATGGGGAGTCCCTGAAGACTCGATGAACTGCAGTGGCCACGTCAGGAGGTTGCAGGTTGACCAGAACTCACCGACACAGCAGGAGAGCAGCTTGGAACCTGCAACTCAGCCAAGACCCAGTGCCTTGGATTGAGGGAGAAAACATGCAGCCATTCCTCTCTCTCTCTGTTGGCTAGAGGGGATTCTGGCTTTTCCTGCCAGAGCCACCCCTTTCCCTCCTCCTAAAGTTGATGGTGGTTCTTTAAGGAAAGGGAGAAGTGCACGGTGTGATAGGGCAGGAAGAGAAGAAAACGGAGGAGAGGAGGGGACTTTCCCATAAGCAGGCAGAAGAAAAGGCAGCTGTGGTGTGTGATGGACATGGAAGCAGTGGTGTCCAATGTGGGGTCAGCCCTAGAGGAGAGACAGAGAGAGAGACAGAAAAGTGAGAGAGTCCTGACCCTTACAATTAACATGGGATCTGCCTGCAAGTGCTGTTTAGGGCCATCGCCTCTTCCTGTACTGCTATTTTTGAGAGTGATGCTCCTGAGCCCCATGACCCAGTCAAATTTGATGTCCCCTTGAGCCAGATTCAGTGCTGGGAGTCCAGTGTGATCTGCCTGGATCTTGCTGCATTGAGAACAGGCCAGATCTTGACACCAATACAGGGGGCTGGATATGAACAGGCAACAGCTGGGTTTCTGAGTCAGAAAGACTTGGTTAATTGCTAATTGCTTAGGCGAGTAATTCAATTTTGTTCAGTCAGATTCCTCAGCTATAAAATGCAGATGACAGTACTTATTCCTCCAGGTTGTGGGGAAAATGGAGATTCTGAGCACGATGTCCATTTCACAGAAAGGTACCAATTTGGTGGCTTATTTTCCTTTCTACCTTCAGAAGTAGCTAACCCTGCCACCCAAACAGACCCTTGACTCTCAAGTGGATGGGGTCCCATTTGCACAGGGGGAGAGCTTACAGCCTACATTGAGTCTATACTTACCACTTAGTGAGCATGGTATCCGCTCAGGGGCCTCTGTGGGCATCCGTCTCCTCTGCGGCATCTTTCCTCCCTACCGCTGGGCCTGCACATGACCCCCTCCTTGGGTTAGGCCTCTGATCGGTGATGACCTTGGTATGGTGGTGATGGTCAGTCTTGGCACCAAATGAGCCAGTTTATATCATCAGCTATTCAATAAAACACTAATCTAGGTGTCACCATGAAAGTATTTTGTGACATTGTTATGTACGTGTTGTTACAAATGTGCATGATGCATTTACTACAGCATACAATTTTGCCTGGGTGCCAGCCTGAAGTCTGTCCGACAGATCATAGCCATGTTAGTCCCACAGTCACAGGGGCCAATGGATTAAATTATTTTATCTCCCTTGAGAACTAAAAATAAAATCCTAAGCCCCCCACCCGACTTAGCAGACCCCCTTTTGGCCAACGGAACCCGTTTCTTTTCTTTTTTTTCTTTTTTGATTGAGATGAAGTCTCATGCTTGTCACCCAGGCTGGACTGCAATGGTGCAATCTCAGCTCACTGCAACCTCCGCCTCCTGGGTTCAAGCGATTCTCCTGACTCAGCCTCTCGAGTAGCTGGGATTACAGGCACCTGCCACCATGCCCAGCTAATTTTTGTATTTTTAGTACAGATGGGATTTCACCATGTTGGTCAGGCTGTTCTTGAACCCCTGACCTCAGGCAATCTGCCCGCCTCCCTCCCAAAGTACTGGGATTAGAGGCATGAGCTACCATGCCCGGCCGCCCTTCTCTGTTTCCAGAGCATTTTGTATTAACTCCCTCTCATGATATCTTCCATGATAGGCTGAATAATGGCCCCTCCAAAGTGTCCTCAACTTAATCCCCAGAATCTGTGACTATGTTCCTTTCCATGACAAAAGGGACTTTGCAGATGTGATTAAGCATCTTGAGATGGGAACTTATCCTATGTTGCCTGTGGGCCCAGTGTCCCATCACAGTGCTTTTTTTTTTTTTTTTTGAGACGGAGTTTCTTGCTCTTGGTGCCCAGGCTGGAGTGCAATGGCACAATCTTGCCTCACTGCAACTCCACCTCCGAAGATTCAAGCGATTCTCTTGCCTCAGCCTCCCGAGTAGCTGGATTACAGGTGCTCGCCAACATGTCCAGCTAATTTTTGTTTTTCCAGTAGAGATGGGGTTTCACCATGTTGGCCAGGCTAGTCTCGAACTCCTGACCTCGTGATCTGCCCACCTTGACCTCCCAAAGTGCTGGGATTACAGGCATGAGCCACCACATCCAGCCTACAGTGCTCTTTTAAGAGGGACTCAGCAGTCAGGGGAGATTCCAATGCGATGGTGACTGAGTGTCTTAGTCTTTTTTGTATTGCTATGCAATATCTGAGACTGGGTAATTTATAAAGAACAAGTTTATTTCTTACAGTTCTGGAGGCTGGGAAGGTCAAGATCAAAGGGCCTGCTTCTGGTGAGGGTCTTCTTGCTGTGTCATCCCATGATGGAAGGTATCACATCAAGAGAGAAAGGGGGCTGAACTCAATCCTTTTATTAGGAACCCATCCGCATGATAATTAACCCTCTGCTGAGATAACATCATTACTCTATTAATGAGGGCAGATCTTTCATGACCTAATCTCCTCTTAAAAGTCCCACCTCTCAACACTTGCATTGGGGATTAAATTTCCAACACATGAACTTTGGGGAACACATTCAAACCATAGCACTGTGCAGAGATTGGAGTGGTGTGCATTAAAAATGGAGGAAAGGGCCACAATCCAGGGAATATAGGTAACCACTAAAAGCAGAAAAAGGCAAGAAAATGGGTTTTCCCTTCAGAGCCTCCTGAAGAAATCAGTACTTTACAACTTGACTTTAGCCAAGTGAAACTGATTTGAGGCTTCTGACCTATAGAACAATAAGATATTAAGTCTGTGTTGTTGTAAGCCAATCAGATCGTGGTAATTTGTTACAGCAGCCATAGAAAACTAATTGACTCACCAATGGGAGAAATCAGCTGCTGACTTAAGGCTAACAAACACCTACTTCCTTTCCTAACCTCACTTTAATTTTATCTTGGAGGAATTCTTTTCCCTATCCCATTAAGTTATGGGAGATGGGGCCAGGCATGGTGGCTTAGCAATCCCAGCACTTTGGGAGGCTGAGGTGGGTGGATCACTTGAGGTCCAGAGTTTGAGACTAGCCTGGCCAACATAGTGAAACCACATCTCTACTAAAAATACAAAAATTAGCCAGGTGTGATGGTGGGCACCTGTAATCCCAGCTACTCCAGAGGCTGTGGCATGAGAATTGCTTGAACCCAGGAAGCAGAGGTTGCAGTGAGCTGAGATCGCACCACTGCACTCTAGCCTGGGTGACAGAGTGAGAATCTATCTCAAAAAAAAAAAAAAAAAGTCATGGGAGAGGATGGTAAAGCTAAGTATCTTTTGCACCTACTCCCCAGCCCCACCACTGCAGAAGCTGAAGGGGTTCCTAGAGGCTTCTTCTGCCGTGGAGCGGTTCCCACTGGCCCCTAGCTAGAGGTGGGTGTAAGACTTTGAAACATGAACAAATGGAGCTGGGATGGTAATGGCGGGAACAATATTGTGCTAATCTGAACTCTGCACTTCCTAACTTTGTCTCTGGGTAAATTACCTCAAATTGCTGAGCCTTTGTTTCCATATTTATAAAATAGGTGCAGTAAGAGTACCAACCTCTTCTATGCTGTTTGGAGGAGGCAGGTCCATTAGGTACCTGGCATGTGGTAAGGGATTCATGAATGTTGGCTTCTATCATTAAGGGTGGGGGAGCCACATAAGTAGCCAGAGGGAGTCATAGAAAGTTCTTGAGCCAGAGAAGTAAGACAATCTTTTCAGCTTTTTGTGCAGCATAAAAGGCGGGTAATTTGCTTGCCTTTGACCAAGGAAATTTGGGACGTGCCAGGCCTGGGGTGAATGGTGGGAACCCAAGTAGAGGGATATTTCTCATTGGCTGAATTAACTGTGACTCCGTTTTGCGGAGCAGCCAGGTTGCTTCATGGTGGACCTGCTGCATGCCTACATGATGGTGCCGTGGATAGCTCTTGTTTGTGCCAGCCCTGTACCTGATACCTCTTGTGGTAATTGCATCCCTATTTTCCAGAAGGAAGCATCCCTCCTCCCACTTTCTGGTTTTCCCCATGTCCTTCTGGAGGGGATGACCCCAACCGCTTCCTGAAGGAGCTTCATGAAAGCCAGGTCTGGCCAGGCTGGATGTGGTGGTTGGCTCAGGCAGGGGCATGTGGCCCAAACGGGTCCAGTGAAAGTCAGTCCTGGGACTTTGGCTGGAACTATTGGGGAACAGCCTCTGCTTTCTTGCGCAGATGTGAGTTAGGAGCTGCTCAGGCCACTATGTGGAAAGAATTGCATGAGAATGAAGTAATCAAAGGGAAGCAAGCAGTGAGAGATTAGAGAGACTTATCTTGTATAAGTGCCTGTATCCAGCTATGCCTGAAGTGAGGTACCACCCCAGGCCTTTTCAGTCATGCTATCAGTTTTGTTCCTTTTTTCTGTTTTACTCTTGGTGGAGTTATTTTTTTTTTCCTTGTTACTTGAATAAGAAAAATACCAAACTAGAAGGCTGGGTGCAGTGGTTCATGCCTGTAATCCCAGTACTTTGGGAGGCCAAGGCAGGTGGATCATGAGGTCAGGAGTTTGAGATCAGCCTGACCAACATGGTGAAATCCTGTCTCTACTAAAAATACAAAAAAATTAGCCAGGCGTGGTGGTGCGTGCCTTTAATCCCAGCTACTCAGGAGGCTGAGGCAGGAGAATTGCTTGCATCTGGGAGGCGGAGGTTGCAGTGAGCTGAGATCGTGCCACTGCACTCCAGCCTAGGTGACAGAGCAAGACTCCATCTCAAAAAAAAAACAAAAACAAAAACAAAGAAACAAAACAAAAAAAACAGACTAGTAAATGCAACCATTTACAAATCCCAAGAGACTCTTGAAGATTCTTTTTGTTAGTAGGGAAAACATTCTCCATTTTTCTGCCAACTTTAGGGTTTTCAGAGAAGTTTGGGGGAGAGAAAGGAAAGCAAACAGGTGGGAAGAAAGAGTCCTTGCAGCCCCAAGTCGGGCGAACTCCTCCCAGCTACTTATACCACAGGGTTTTGGGAGCAGAGCCCCTTTCATTAAACTTTTAGGATTCTTGGATGGATAGGGTGGGAATTACACCAGTGAAACTCAGCTTTGTGTGTGCCAGGCATTGGGCCCTGGGATATGCAGTCATGTGTTGTATAATGACATTTTAGTCAATGACAAACCACATGTAAGTCACTGGTACCATAAGACGATTATGGAGCTGAAAAATTCCTATTGCTCAGTGACATAGCCATTGTAATGTTAGGGTAATGCATTTCTGTGTTTCTGGTGATGCTGGTGTAAACAAATCTGTGCTGCCAGTTCTATAAAAGCATAGCATGTACAATTACATACAATATATAATACTTGATAATGAACAACTATGTTACTGGTTTATTTTATTTTTTTGAGACAGAGTCTTGCTCTGTTGCACAGGCTGGAGTGCAGTGGCGCGATCTTGGCTCACTGCAACTTCTGCCTCACAGGTTGAAGCGATTCTTCTGCCTCAGCCTCCTGAGTAGCAGGGAATACAGGCACCCACCACCACGGCCAGCTAATCTTTGTATTTTTAGCAGAGATGGGGTTTCACCACACTGCCCAGGCTGGTCTCAAACTCCTGACCTCAAATCATCTGCCCGCCTCAGCCTCCTGAAGTGCTGGGATTACCCACATGAGACACTGTGCCCAGCCCTGGTGTATTTAGTGTTTTTCATAATTTTAGAATGTATGTCTTCTACTTACATTAAAAAATAGTTAACTATAAAACAGCCTCAGGTAGGTCCTTCAGGAAGTATTCTGGAAGAAGAAGGCATTCTTATCACAGGAGATGACATCTCCATGCGTGTAATTGCCCAGGCGGGAGTGCAGTGGCACGATCTCGGCTCACTGCAACCTCCACCTCCTGGGTTCAAGTGATTCTCCTGTGTCAGTCTCCTGAGTAGCTGGGATTACAGGTGCACACCACCATGCCTGGCTAAGTTTTGTATTTTTAGTAGACATGAGTGTTTCACTACGTTGGCCAGGATGGTCTTGAATTCCCGACCTCAAATGATCTTCCTGCCTTGGCCTCCCAAAGTGCTGGGATTGCAGGTGTGAGACACCATGACCGGCAAAATTTTTTAAGATACATTTCAGTAAGCTAAGGTGAATTTATTGAAGAAAAGCTTTAAAAATTTTTGGTGTAGCCTAAGCATATGGTGTTTATAAAGTCTACAGTAGTGTACAGTAAGGTCCTATGCCTTCACACTCACTGACTCATCCACAGCATCTTCCAGTCCTGCAAGCTCATTTCATGGTAAGTGCCCTATACAGGAGTACCATTTTAAAATCTCTTATACTCTATTCTTACTGTATTTTCTCTATGTTCAGGTACACAAGTACTTACATTGTGTTACAACTGCTTATGGTATATTCAGTAAAGTATCAGGCTGTAAGGGTGTGTAGCCTAGGAGCAATAGGCTACGCCATACAGCCTAGGTGTGTAGTAGGCTATACAAGGTTTGGGTAAATGCACTTTGCTGTTTGCACAATGCTGCAGTCACCTAAGGAGGCATTTCTCAGAACCATCCCATGATTAAGAGAGGCATGATCATATAGTCATCATCACCCTGAAAGCTCAGTCAACCCTCTGCAGTGCTACTGCCACACTCCCCTTTTGCACATGTAGAAATCAAGGATCTTTGGCTCCTCTGAGTGACTAGTTCAAGGTTTCTCAGTTTCCAAGAGATGGAGGTGGGACTTGAATTGAGATTTCCCTTTCTTGAGAACCTGTGGTCCTTAACCATTAAAACCACTTAAGAGGTCTTCTCTCTTGATCACTACCTACTAAGTGCTAGGCGCGGTGCTGAGGCGTTCTCTTGATTATTATATTGAGTCTTTAGATTTAGGAGAAACAGGCTGAGCGTGCTGGCTCACGCCTGTAATCTCAGCACTTTGGGAGGCTGAGGTGGGAGGATCACGAGGTCAGGAGATGGAGACTATCCTGGCTAACACCGTGAAACCCTGTCTCTACTAAAAATACAAAAATTAGCAGGCGTGGTGGCAGGCGCCTGTATTCTCAGCTGCTCGGGAGACTGAGGCAGGAGAATGGCGTGAACCCAGGAGGCGGAGCTTGCAGTGAGCCGAGATCGCGCCACAGCACTCCAGCCTGGGTGACAGAGCGAGACTGTCTCAAAAAAAAAAAAAAAAAAAAAAAGATTTAGGAGAAACAAGTCCCGAAGCCCTGACCCTAACACGCAAGGGTTAGTGGAGATGTGGGACTTGAACTCAGCTTCTCCGTTGACTCTGGCTGTCTCCCTGACGCAGGCATGTGCTCGCACACCTCCACGGTGGCGATCCCGCCCCCTTAGTAGCGTCCTTAGCTCGGTACTTCTTGCGGGGAAGTTCCTCTTGGCCCAGACCCTCTTCCTAGGCCCCGCGTGGTGGGGGAAGCGAAAGGGGCAGTGTGGGGAAGTGGCTGAGGGGTTGGGTCCGGGGTGGTCTGCAGAGAGGCAGGCGGCGGTGCGGAGCGGGGAACCACGCACTCACCCGCCGAGTCCGACGGGCCCGGCAGGGGTGGGCAAGGCATTGGGAACAGCCGCCAGCTCTAGAGGGCGTGAGGCGGGGCGCACGGGGAGGGGGTGCGGCTAACGCGCGCGTGCGCGGTTCATGTGTGGGCCCGCGGGGGCGCGCGCGCGGTTAGCGGGCAGCGAGGGTCACCTGGGCGGTGCGCAGCACGGCGGGAACATGGCGCGCGGAACCGGCGCGCGCGCCTAGCTGGCGGGACCGTTAGATCGAGGCGGATGCGGCCCGGACCCCGTGGATATGGAGCAATCGCCGCCGCTGGCGCCGGAGCCCACCCAAGGGCCAACCACCACAAGGAGCTGAAGGCGGCGGGAGCCCGAGTCGCCGCCGGCGTCGGTGCCGGTGAGTGCGTGAGGGGCTCGGGCCGGGAGACTTTCTTTGTGAAACTCCGGCGGTGGGAGCCAGGCCGGGCCTGAGGCTGAGGAGCGCCTGTGAGGCGGAAGGCGTCTCGCAGTCCGGGTTCCATCCCAGCTGCGAGCCTTCAGGCGGCGGGACCTGGTCCAAAGCCTGCCTGCCTCAGTTTCCACTAGAGTGGGTGTGGGTGTGTGAGGGTGTGTATGGGTGTTGGCCTGCGCACACCGGAGAGGGGGTGTCGGTATACAGTCGGCGCCTAATGCTCGCGGCGCCTCCCCCACTCTCCCCAGTCCCCGTGGGTCGGAACCTGGGGACTGGAGTCCACTGGAGCAGTAGGCGGCACCCGCGGGGAGACAGGTGTCAGTGCAGCCCGGGAGGCTCAGGTGCTACCTTTCCTGGGTGGGGTTTGTGAGGAGGGAGCTCTTCGTCCCCGGAGGTGAGCAAGTCTGTCGGTGGCTCATCACAGAGTGCTGTTTTGGAAAGCGTTCCACCCACCTCAGCTTCCTGCTGTGTTTGGGCCACTAGTCAGGGGGAAGGATGCTGAGCGACATGGACTTTAGAGGTGGGGCCCCCGCTGGACGGGATGGGTCTGGGCTCTCGAGCTAACCCCCACCCTTTCCTCCCAAACCCGTTAGAGCGTAGGAATCATTGGGAGCACCTGATAAAAATGCCACGGATTGTGGCTCACCTAAGCAGGGAAGCCGATTTGGAACTTAAACAAGCTCCCAAGTTGTGATCAGTCGAGCTTGGCAAGCACTGTTTGAGAGAGTAGGTGTCCTGCAAGCAGGAGCCGGTTTTGTGTATTCCTCACCATGGCATCTTGGTACCTGGCATGGTGCCTGACACACGGTAGATGATCAGAAAATATCTGTAGAAAGTCTAAATTATTAGGGAGAGTGCAGCATAGGAGTTCTTGAGACATTTTCAGGAGCTTCCTGAGATTAATATCTGTCAGATTTGTTTTACAGTATATGATTTTTCTCAGCTCCCAACTTTTGTGATTGTTTTAATGCCATGTTTTCAGTATGTTCTAGGCAAAAGCAGGGTATATGTTGCTTAGTATACACTATCCACTAGGCCGATTGCGGTGGCTCACTCCTGTAATCTCATCACTTTGGGAGGCAGATTGCTTGAGCCCAGGGGCTTGAGGCTGTAGTGAGCCAAGGACTTAGAGACCAGTGTGGGAAACATAGCGAGGTTCGTCTCCGCAAAAATTAGCTGGGTGTGGTAGCGTGCACTTGAAGTCCCAGCTACTCTGGAGACTGAGGTGGGAGGATCGCTTGAGCTCAGGACGTACAAGTTGCAGTGAGCCAACTTGTGCCACTGCATTCCATCCTGGATAACACAGTGAAACCCAGTCTCTTAAATAAGTAAATAAATACATAAACGATTATGTATACTCCAGCTAGATTAAAATTAATTCTGAATCAAAATTCTAAATTAAAATATGCATGTGTCTTTCTCTTCATCATTTGAGAACACTAGGCTTTTAGGATTTCATTCTGTTGAGGCAGGTAAATATCAACATTTTTGACAAAGCAAATATGAATTACTGTTAATTCGAGAAAGGCGGGAATTTGCTTAAACCTGAGTATTTGTAGTCTTTGTGATTTTTTTAAATTTTAAATTTAAATTTTTCTTTTTTTTTCTTTTTTTTTGAGATGGAGTCTCACTCTGTCGTCCAGGCTGGAGTGCAGTAGCACAATCTCAGGTCACTGCAACCTCCACCTCCCGAATTCAAACGATTCCCCTGCCTCAGCCTCTGGTGTAGCTGGCATTACAAGTGTGTGCCACGATGCCCAGCTAATTTATGTATTTTCTGTAGAGAGGAGGTTTCACTATGTTGCCCAGGCTGGTCCCAAACTCCTTGACCTCAAGTGATCTGCCCACCTTGGCCTCCCAAAGTGCTGGGATTACAGGCGTGAACCACGGCACCTGGCCTTATTTTTATTTTTTTGAGACAGACTCAGTCTGTCGCCCAGGTTGGAGTGCTGTGGCATGATCTCCACTCACTACAACCTCCACCTCCCAGATTCCAGCGATTCTAATGCCTCGGCCTCCTGAGTAGCTGGGGTTACTAGACCCGGGTAATTTTTGTTGTATTTTTTTAGTAGAGACTGGGTTTCCCTATGTTGGCCAGGCTGCTCTGGAACTCCTGGCCTCTAATTATCCACCTGATTCGTCCTCCCAAAGTGCTGGAATTACAGGCATGAGCCACTGCCCCCAGCCAATCTTTGTGATATTTTGAAATTGACGTTTATATTTTGTTCAGAGTCAAAGCTAAAATAGAATTGTTTGAAAATTAATATTTCAGGAACTATTTTTTAATTAAGTCGAATTTTATTTTATTTCATTTCAGGAGGGTTTTAACTTAAAAATATATATATACATATATATGTATATGTGTGTGTGTGTGTATATACATATATATATATATATATATATATATATTTTTTTTTTTTTTTTCCTGAGACAGAGTCTTGCTCTGTCACCCAGGCTGGAGTGCATTGGCATGATCTTGGCCTCACTGCAGCCTCCACCCTCCTGGCTCAAGCAATTCTCCTGCCTTAGCCTCCCAAGTAGCTGGGACTACAGGTGCCCACCACCACATCTGGCTAATTTTTATATTTTTAGTAGAGATGGGGTTTCACCATGTTGTCCAGGCTGGTTTTGAACTCCTGATCTCAAATGATCTGCCCTCCTTGGCCTCCCAAAGTGCTGGGATTACAGGCGTGAGCCCCCGTGCCTGGCCTAAAAAATATTTTTAAAGACAGGATCTAGCTATGTTGCCTCAGCTGGTCTTGAACTCCCAGTCTTGGCCTCAAGTGATCCTTCTGCCTCAGCCTTCTGAGTAGCTGGAAGCACAGCTGTGAGCCAGCACACATGGCTTTTTTTTATTTCTAATAAAAAAATTAATAGAGTTTCTTGTTTCACTGGACAAAATATGCATACATAGGAAGGAAAGACTTTTTGACTTCAGATTGCGCTGAAGAAGAAAAATGGAAAAATTAGGCATTTTAGTCTCTCAGTGTGTTATTTTTGTAGGTTATACAGATGTCTTTTTAAAGTTTCTTTAGAAAGCTTTATTGAGATAAAGATAAATGAGATAAATTCACCTACCATGAAATCAACCCCTTGAGTGCAGAATTTTATGGTTTATAATATGTTCACAGAATCACACAAACAAGACAGGTGTCTAGATACTTTCAGACCATTTTCATCAGTCCACAAGAAATCCCATACCCATTAGCAGTCATCCTTATTCCCTTTTCCTCTCGTCCCTGGCAATAACTAGCTTACTTTCTGTCTCTGAGTTTAGCTCTTCTGGAGATTTCACAGAATGAAATCTTACTACATATGGTCTTTTGTGATTGACTTATTTCACTTGGCACAGTGTTTTCAAGGTTTATCCATGCTGTAGCGTATATCAGCACTTCACTCTTTTCTAATGCTGAGTAATCTTTTGAATGGATATACCATATTTTATCAGTTCCTCTGTTGATAGGCACTTGAGTTTTTTTTCCAATTTTTGGCTATTATGAACAATGCTGCTATGAACATTTGTGTACAAATTTTAGTGTGGATGTATATTTTCATTTCCCTTGGGTATATCCCTAAGGAATAGACTATCTGGGTCATCTGATAATTGTTTAAGAATACAGGCACATGCAACCACACCTGGCAAATATTTAAATTTTTTTGTAGATGAAGGGTCTCGCTATGTTGCCCAGGCTGATATTGAACTCCTGGCCTCAAGAGATCCTCTCACCTCAGACTCCCAGAAAGTGTTAGCATTACAGATGTGAGTCACTGCACCTATAAAAGAGGCTCATACCTCTTTTTACATATTTTTTTAAGACAGGGTTTCACTCTGTTGCCCAGGCTGGAGTGCATTGGTGGGATCACAGATCACTGCAGCCTGGACCTCCCTCCATATGATTCTAGCTGTGGGTGTCTTTCCTGTAGTTTTTATTATGTTGTGGTATGTTTCTTCTGTACCCGTTTATTTGAGGATTAATAGCATGAAGGGATGTTGAATTTCATCGAATGCTTTTTCAGTTTCAGTTGACATGATCATACTGTTTTTGTCATTTATTTAGTTGATATGATGCATCACATTGTATGTTGAGTGACCCTTGCATCCCAGGGATACATTCCACTTGATCATGATGAATTATCTTTTTAATGTATTACTGAATTTGATTCACTGGTATTCCGTTGAGGATTTTTGCATCAATATTAGAGATACTGGCCTGTAGTTTCCTTCTTTGATGCCTTTGTCTGATTTTGGTATCACAGTAATAATGGTCTCATAGAATAAGTTTGGAAGTATTCCCTCCTGTTTTTCAAAATAGTTTGAGTAGGATTCGTACAAGGTCTTTAAATTGTTTGGTGTGAAGCCATCAGCAGTGAAGACATCAGTTCCTGGGCTTTTCTTTACTGGGAGACTTTTTCTGATGGCTTCAATCTCATTACTTGTTACCAATCTGTTCTGGTCTTGGATATTTTCATTATTCAACCTAAGTAGGTTTTATGCATCTAGGAATTTGCCAATTTCTACTAGGCTTTCCAATTTATTGGCATGTAATAGCCAGTTATGATCCTTTGAATTTCTGAAGTTATTAGTTGTAGTGTCTCCTTTTTTTTAATCTGTTGATTTTATTTGAATCTTGTCTCTTTTTTCTTAGTTAGCCTGGTTAAAAGTTTGTCAATTTTGTTTAGCTTTCCAGAAAACCAACTTTTCATTTAATCTTGTGTGTTTCTTATTTCAATTTTATTTCTGCTACGATCTTAGTTATTTTCTTAATTTCGGTTTAGTTTGTTCTTACTTTACTAGTTCTTTAAGATGTATTGTTTATTTGAAGTTTTTCTTTTGTTTGGATGGTAGGCACTTATAGTGTAAATCTCTGCCTTTGTACTGTTTTCTGCGTAACAAGTTTTGGTATACTGTGTTTTCATTACCCTTTGTTTCATGAAATTTTTGAATTTCTGTCTTAGTATCTTCATTGACCCGCTAGTCATTTATTCAGGAGGGTAGTGTTTAACTTCCATGTGATTGTATTGTTTCCAAAATTACTCTTCTTACTGATACCTAGTTTTATTCCTTTGTAGTCAAAGAAGATGGCCAGGGAGACAGCAGCATGGTCAGAGTGGTAGGAGCTGGCCATCGGTGAGAGCTGCTCCATGCCTGGCTGCTGGGTGCTAGAGCTTGTGGACCACTGGCTTGCCTCACTGTGGTTGGTGGTGGCGGTGACAGAGTGTGCAGCACGACCAGAGTGGTAGGACAGGGGCTATCCAGGGCTGCACCTTTTGCAGTGTGGGGTGGGTTGGGGGCGCTATGCAGGGTGTCATTGCCTGCATTAGGGGTACTGGTTGGTAGCACTGTACAGGGCTGCACTTCCCACGGCAGGGAGGGTGGGTTATGGGCACTTTCTGGGGCTGCAATGCCCATGGAGGAGGACACGTTAGGGCACTATAGGGTATACGCTACTGGTGGCATTGGGGGACGGAGGTGGGGGGCGCTATTGAGGGCAGGACTAGCCGTGGAGGGGGGGCGAGTTCGGTGCTATCAGTGGCTGCACTGCTGACGGCGGTCAGGAGAGTTGGCATCCAAGGAAGGAGTGGTTCTCCTCTCCCTGACTCCACATTCCAGAGGGCGACCCACTCTTGGTCATACTGGAGTGCAGCAGGCATGCAGCGTTTGCGTGGGAATCCTGAGCATGGCAGAGCCCCCACACCCACCGTGGTTCCTGGGCCTGTGCACTCTGGGTCTGTGCCTCAGAGGCTGCCAGGCACCCCTGGGGACACCACGGGGGACAGGGCCCTGTGTGTGGAGGCGTCTGGAACAGGAATTGGCACCTAGGTGCGGAGGGTTGGCTGGGTCTGAATTTTTCTGCTTCTCCTGCTCCCCGAGGAGTGCAGCCCCAGTGGGCCCAATGATTCCTGTGGAGTGGGGAGCTGGGTGCTGTGGTATCTCCAGCACCCACCCCAGACTCCAGTTCCGGGCCAGCTTGGACCAAAAGGAGAGGCTGGACTTTGGAGGGTGGGTGTGAGTGCCTTTGCTGAAACTGGCCCCTGCCACCCAGTGGCCAGCATGACAAGTTGAGGCTCTAACCCTTCCGCCCCTCACATCTTCCTCTAGGCTTTTCTGGCTTTGCCCGCCCAGCTGCTCCATGCCAGGAGGAGGAGGAGACACCTAGAGCCTGCGACACCATGGCTCGCCTCGCTGCAGGTGGGTGGCAGCAACGGAGACTGCAGTGCGCCGGAGCGGTAGGAGAGCGGCCGCGCTAGGAGGGCAGGCGGCTGCAGCCAGGGTTGGGGGTCAGGCTTGCAGTGATGGACGGGCTGCAGCAGTGGCCAGGTGGTAGGAGCCTTGTAGGGAGGACTGGTGCATTGGCAATAGGCCTGGCTTTGTCCTGCCCCTGCCATGGATCTGGCCCTGTACTGCCCTGCCTTGCCGTGTACCTGCCCTACTATTACCTGGACTGTTTCGGCCAAGTCCTGCTCTGGTCCCATCCTGACCCTGTCTTGGCCCTGTGATACCCTGTCCCTGCCCTGGTCTTGCCCTGACACTGGCCCTGCCCTGAACCTGCACTGGCCTGACCTTGGCTCTGGCCCTGGCTCTGGCCCTGCCCCTTGTCCTGACCCTTGTCCTGTCGTGGCACTGGCCCTGCCAATGGTCATGGTCCTGCTCCTGTTCTGGCCCTGACCTGGCCTTGGACATGTCCTGGCCCTGCTTTGGCCCATCCCTGCCCTGGCCCCACCATGGGCCTGCCTGTTCTGCCCTCTCCTGGCACTGACCTTGCCCTGTCATGGCCCAGTGGTGCCATTGCCCTGCCTTACCCAATGGTTGTGCCTTGGCCCCGCTTGGTGCTGGCCGCTCCCTGGACCTGCCCTGACCCTGCCTTGGCTTTTGCCCTGCCCTCACTATGGCCTGTCCCTGGCCCTAGCCCTGGTCCTGGCATATCCCTGGCCCTACCCTTATCCAGGCCCTGCCCCTGCTGCTGCCCTGGCCCTGGCCTGGAACCTGGTCCTGTCAAGGACCTGCCCTGACTCTGCCATGGCCCTGGCCCTCCTCTGCCTTGTTCCTGGCCCTGACCCAGACCCAGACCCTTTCCTGGCCCTGCACTGGCCTTTCCCTGGCCCTGAGCTGGCAGTGGTCTGCCCCTGGTCTTGCCATCACCCTGCCCTGCTGTGCTCTGGATGTGTCATCATGCTGCCCTGGCCCTACTCTGCCTTTGACCCTGCCCTGGCCTTACCTTAGCCCTCACCCTAGTCTTCGCTAGGCCCTGCTGCTATTTCCCTGCCCTACCCTGCCTTGGCTGTGCCCTGGCTCGATTCTGGCCCTGGACCCAGCCCTGCCCTGGATATGCTCTGACACTTCCTCAGCCTTGACACTAGCGTGGCTTTTTCTTGGCATCAGCCCTGCTCTCTCTGTGGACCGGCTCTTGTCCTGTCCTGCACTGGTCATACCATGCCCTGCCCTGCCCTGCCCTGACTCTGGCCTGGCTCAGCCCTGGCCCAGCCTTGGCCTTGGCATTGCCCCTGGTCCTGACATATTTCTTGCCCTGTCCCTACCCCAGCCTTGGCCCTGACCCTTACCTTGCTCTGGCCCTGCCCTTGCCCTAACGCAGCCCCTGACCCTGTCATGGCCCTGCCCTGGACCTGTCCTGGCCCTGGCCCTGGCCCTTCCCTGCTTGAGACCTTGTCCTGGTTCTCCCCTGGCCCTGACCCTGAAATGCCTGGCCCTACCCTGGCCTTGCACTGCTCTGGCCCTTGCTCTGACTCTGGTCCTGTCACTGGCCTAGCCCCAGCCCTGTTGCTGGTCTTACCATGGCCCAGACCCTGCCTTGGCCCTGCCCTGACACTATCCTGGACCCTGGCTGTGCCAAGATCCTGCACTGTCCTTGCCCTTGTTTTGCTCCTGCCCCAAACCTGGACCTGCCCAGGCCATGGCCATGGCCCTGGCCCTGGCCCTGCCCTGGCTGTTCCCTGGCCCTGCCCAGGTCTTGGCACTGGCCTGGCCCTGCCCTGCCTTGGCCCTATGCTTTCCTGGCCCTGCCTTCCGGCCCTGCCCCTGCCTTGGCCCTAGCCTGGCTTTGACCCTGCCCTGGCCCTACCTTGACCTTCACCCTAGCCTTACTTGGGCACTGTGTTGGACCTGGCCATAGCACAGACCTGCTTGTGGCCCTGGCCCTGCCATGGCCCTGTCCCAGATGCTAGCCCTGCCAGGTGCTTGTCCTGGCCCTGCTGTGGGCCTGGCTTTGTCCCTGGTTCTTAGATGAACCTGGCCCTGCCCTGCCCTTGCCCTTGCCCTGGCACTGGCCTTGGAAATGTCCGTGGTCCTAACCCTGGCCCTGCCCTGGAGCTGCCACTGTCTTGGCCCTGCCCTGGCTCTGGCCCTGCCCTGGACGTGGCCCTGCCACAGCCCCAGCCATAGACCTGCCCTGGTTGGTCGTGCCCTACCTTAACCCTGTGCTACCCTGGGCCTGCTCCACCCTGCCCTGGCCCTGCCCTCCCTTTGGCCCTGCCCTGACCCTGCCTTGGCTCTCACACTGGCCCTAGCACAGACCTGGTCCTATCTGTGGCCTTGGCCTGGCATTGACCCCTGCTCCTGACCCTGGTCCTGCCATGGCCCTTGCCCTGCCAATAACCCTGACAGCTCTGGCCCTGGCCCTGTCTTGGCCCTGGCCCTGAACTGGTGCTGCCCTGACCCTGGCCCTGAAGTGGATTTTCAGGTGTCTTGTCCCTGAGTTAACCTGGCCCGACCACAGCCTTGTCCCTCTCCTGGCTCTGTCCTGGTCTTGTGCTGACCCTGACCCAGAACTTGGCCCTGCCCCAGCCTTGTCCTAGACCTGGCCATAGCCCTGCCTCTGCCCTAGACCGGCGCTGGCACTGGCATGGACCCTGGCCCTGGCCCTTCAATACTTAAGGCCATACACTGACCCAGCCCTGGTCCTGACCCTGTCCTGGCCCTAATTTGGCCTGGCTCTACCCTGGTATGCTATTCTGGCCCTAGCCCTGACCCTCTCCCTGTCCCTGTCCTGGCCCTAGCCCCGTTGCTGGTCCTGCCATGGCCCTTGTCCTGACATTGCCCTTTCCAGGTCCTGGCCCTGGCCCTGTCCCAGCCCTACTCTGGCCCTGGTCTGAACCCTGGCCCTGCAATGGACCTGCCTTGGTCCTGCCCAGACCCTGGCTCTGGCCCTACCTCTGCCCTGGCCATACCCTTGCCCTGGCCTGGACCCCGGTCCTCGTCCTTGTCCTGCCCCAGCCGTGGCACTGACCCTGCCCCACCTGTGCCCTGCCATGGCTGGCCCTGCCATTGCCCTGCCCTAGCCTGCCCTGCTTGTGCCCTAGATCTGCCCCGGCCTTTGCCCCATCTTGGTTCTAGCCTTGAAAACAAAAAAAAAGGAAAAGAAGCATTTTGTATTCTCTTTTAGAAAGGGTAGATGACTGGAAAAGTATTAATAATGAAAATAACCAAAAATTGGACTTATAAATTATAAACTATGTAATTATAAATATTAGTATTTGAAAATATATGCAGATCTACAATTCTTCATGTGGAATTACAAAATTCAACAGTTATGAATACCTAAACCTAAGTTTTGGAAAATCTGATCTATGCTGATGTAGGGGTATTTATAGTTTTTTTTTTTTTTTTTTTTTTTTTTTAAACAGAGTTTTTGCTCTTGCCCAGGCTGGAGTGCAATGGCATGATCTTGGCTCACTGCAACATCCAATTCTTGTTTTCAAGTAATTCTCTTGCCTCAGCCTCCCGTGTAGCTGGGATGACAGGCACCTGCCCACACCCAGCTAATTTTTTTTTTTTTTTTTGATACGGAGTCTTGCTCTGTCACCCATGCTGGAGTGCAGTGGCTCAATCTTGGCTCACTGCAAGCTACACCTCCTGGGTTCACGCCATTCATTCTCCTGCCTCAGCCTCCCGAGTAGCTGGGACTACATGTGCCTGCCACCATGCCCAGCTAATTTTTTGTATTTTTAGTAGAGACAGAGTTTCACTGTGTTAGCCAGGATGGTCTCGATCTTCTGACCTTGTGATCCACCCACCTTAACCTCACCAAGTGCTAGGATTACAGGTGTGAGCCACTGCACCTGACCAGGGGTATTTATAGTCTTATTGATCCCAGTTCATGTGATTATTCATATGATTTGCCACTAGAGTTATTCCATAATAGGCAGAATATTTACCACATTACCTTTCTAAAATCTAAATATTTTTGGATTGTAATTTCAAAGAATCTGACTTGGAAATCTTATTTTGAAATCTGATCCTAAGGAATTCGGATAAGCTATTGGAAAATATCACAAATGACAAAAATTTTGCGTTAAGATAAAATTGTTGATAAATTTAAATCACTTTGCAGCCGAGCATGGTGGTTCACACCTGTAATCTCAGCACATTGGGAGGCCGAGGCGGGTGGATCATGAGGTCAAGAGATCGAGACAATCCTGGCCAACATGGTGAAACCCCATCTCTACTAAAAATACAAAAAATTAGCCGGGTGTGGTGCTGCGTGCCTGTAGTCCCAGCTACTGGAGAGGCTGAGGCAGGAGAATTGCTTGAACCCAGGAGGCAAAGGTTGCAGCAAGCTGAGATCGCACCACTGCACTCCAGCCTGGTGATAGACCGAGGCTCCATCTCAAAAAAACAAAAAAAAAATTAAATTACTTTGTATACATAAAGTTCTAATTTTTTAAAAAATTGTAAAATATCCTATACGTTCATTAGTATTACTTATTTGTTTTTATCACTCCATCAATGTGAGGCATAAATAAAATTTGTTAAGTTAAAACTTTCGGTGTACTTTCATTCATTTATTTATTTATTTTGAGACAGTTTCGCTCTATCATCCAGGCTGGAGTATAGTGGCATGATCTCGGCTCACTGCAACCTCCGCCTCCAAGGCTCAAGTGATTCTCGTGCCTCAGCCTTCCAAGTAGCTGGGACTACAGGCATGCACCACCATGCCTGGCTAATTTTTAAAAGTCCTATATCATATAAGAACATTAGAGTTCTGGGATTATTTTTTGTTTGTTTAAGAGACAGGGTCTCACTGTATTACGCAGGCTGGGGTGCAGTGATGTGATCATAGCTCACTGTAGCCTGGAACTCCTGAGCAAAGCAATTCTCCCTCCTCAGCCTCCCCAGTAGCTGGGACTACAGGTGCTTGCCACAATGCCCAGCTAGTTTTTAAATTTTCTGTAGATATAGGTCTCACTGTGTTGCCTAGTCTGGTTTCAAACTCCTGGCCTCAAGGGATCCTCCCCACTTGGCTTCCCAAAGTGCTAGGATTACAGGTGTAAGTGACCATGCCGGGACAAGAACATGAGACTTCTCTTACCATTTTTTTATATCTAAGTGGAATAGCATAGTATTATGTGTCAGTGTTGAATTATTTTAAAATATTATGCACTGAAACATGGTAATAATCTGGGTCAGTTTCTATCTTGACCTAGGTTTAAACATATTAGCTAACATGAGGGGCCCAAAATTAATAATGATTCCATACCATCTCCTTGTTTATTTATTCATTGAGACAGAGTTTTGATCTCTCACAAAGGTTGGAGTGCAGTAGCACCATCTTGGCTCACTACAACCTCCACCTCCTGTGTTCAAGTGATTCTCCTGCCTTAGCCTCCTGAGTAGCTAGGATTACGCCCACCACCACAACCAGCTAACTTTTGTATTTTTAGTACAGATAAAGTTTCACCAGGTTGGCCAGGTTGGTCTTGAACTCCTGATCTCAAGTGATCCGCGGCCTTGGCCTCCCAAAGTGTTGTCATTATAGGCGTGAGCCACTGCCTCCAGCCACCATCTCCTTTCATTAAAAATATGTGAGCTGAAAATAATTTGAGGGCAGTTATTTTCATATAGTCATTTTATCAAACGGATTATATTAATGACTAGTATTAATATTTATTTTATCTAAAATTATGTCTGATTTTTCTAAATTCTCTGACTTGCTAATAATGTTAAACATTAGGTTTAATACATATAATTAGGTCTGTGTGGATGCACTATGTAAATAAAATTGTTTTTAACATTTTGTAAGGTCTGCTGCTTTACAAGTCTTATTATCTTTGCTCCATTTTTGATACCAAAATTTTAACTGTGATAATTAGGCTGGAGATAGCAAATCAAGGGTATGTTTATATAATCACTCTCAAGGATCTCAAGGGTCATTTTCTGGTTACATTATGAAAATTGTAAAAGGAATCAAGTATATATTCCAGATAATAGCTCTTGATAAATCATATACATCTATATAATAGCTATAGATATAGTTTAAGATTTAGATCTAGATATATTCAGCAACTTTGTAATTTATCAAAAGGTTTTGGTTAAAATGTAAGACATTCCTCAATATAGAATTAGTTCTAAAAATTTGTTGCAATGAAGAATGTTAACAACTTACCTTCCTGTTTTCTCTGAATATGAAACAATTCAAGATAGACATAGAAATAAAGCATAATGAACTTTGGGAGGCCGAGGCAGGTGGATCATGAGCTCAGGAGATCGAGACCATTCTGGCTAACACGGTGAAACCCCGTCTCTAATAAAAATATACAAAATTAGCTGGGCGTGGTGGTGGGCGCCTGTAGTCCCAGCTACTTCGGAGGCTGAGGCAGGAGAATGGCGTGAACCAGGTAGGCGGAGCTCGCAGTGAGCCGAGATTGCACCATGGCACTCCAGCCTGGGCTACAGAGCCAGACTCCATCTCAAAACAACAACAACAAAAAAAAAAAAAAACAGAAGTAAAGCATAATGAAATAAACATGTGAGCTCTGTAGCTCATGGTGTTGTTGGCGTGGTGCTTAGCAACAGGGATTTTCCTACACTACACTCCAGTACAGGGCACAGAGCAGAAACTTTATTGCTAAATTTACCGCATAGCAGAGGCAGAACAGAATTCATTTTCACTGCAGGCTGGGACATCCTAAAGACAAAAAACATGGAATGGGTGATATGAGCTACCCTAGTTTATTTCTTTCTTCCAATATCTCCAGTCACCTCCACTATTGATCTAGTGAAAACAGGCGCAGGAACAGTGCTCTAAACGACATTCGATGTCCTTCAATATCTTTGTCAGTCTGAATTCAAAGGAAATATTTTAACTCAAGTAAAAAGAAGACTACAAAAGAAAGATAACCCATATGGGGATAGCAGACTTTTTTGTTTTTGTTGTTGTTTTAAAATCTCTTGTTTTTGGCCACAGGCACTCTGAGCTAGAAGAAAATATTTAGGAGAAGGATGAGAAATCCTTCTGTGTTGAATAAGGGAATTACTTCCAGATGGCAATGGTGTAAATCTACTATGATAACAACTATATATATATATATATATATATATATATATATATATATATATATATAATGAAATATGTTTATAGAAAATGTCTGGAATCTTTTTACAGTCTAGAGTCCTTCTCAATGGCCTTAATTTGCAAAAATAGCCTCAAATTATTTTATTTAATTAAAAACTGCAAGAGATTAACATTTTCTCCTCATAAGGTCCAGTCAAGTATTTTTCTTTTGAATGAAGAAAAAAAATACATTGCCTGTAAAAAATTAATTCTTTGACTTAGTAGTTAGCAGTGAACAGTTGATATGGTTTGGATGTTTTATCCCCTCCAAATCTCATATTAAAATGTGACCTGTATTGTTGGATGTGAGGCCTAGTGGGAGGTATTAGGTCATGGGGGCAAATCCCTCATGAATGGTTTGGTTCCCTCCCTTGGGTAATAAGTGGTAAAGAGTTTACAGGAGATCTAGTTGTTTAAGAGTGTGGCACCTTCCCTCTCTCTCTCTTGCTCCCTCTCTTGCCCTATGACATGCTGGCTCCCCTTCAAATTCTGCCATGATTGTAATCTTCCTGAGGCCCTCACCACAAGCAGATGCTGACACTATGCATTGTGTACAATCTGCAGAACCAAGGGCCAAATAAATCTATTTTCTTTATAAATGACCCAGTCTTAGTTATTTGTTTTACAACAACACAAACACACTAACACACTGGTGAAAATCAACTTAAATACTTAAATACAGATAATATAAATTTAAAATGCAATCTAAGAGTTGTAAAATTTATATTTTCCCTTCAAAAATTAGCATTCTAAATTATCTCCTTACTATTTGTTTTGCTTTATACACTTCCAACTTCCTATGCTCAAGTTTTCAGAAGACATTGAAGAACATCACATCATTAGAGAGAAGAAAAGGAAAAATTGGCTACAAAAATTAACCATACAGTGTATTGAATTAATAGAGTTTTGCTGAACAATTTTTGTTAATGGAGTTTATATTTTTAGGTATAAATATTTTTCTACATGATATATTTAGACAAAGTTTTTTTTTTAAATATAGGATATTTGCAGCAAACGGTCCAAAGGATCCCAATTATTAAACAAAACACAAATATAAATTGATTACAGTATATCAAATATGCCTTAATAATTAGGTAGCTATAAAAAGTAGAGTTACAAGATTGAGAGGTACTTTGTCTTCTGTGAAGGCTTTAAAAACATGAAGCTACATTTCCCACCATCAAAGATTTATGTGTAAGAGATTTGTCTTCATTTTGTTTTAATTAGATGAAACGATTTGCCCATGGGGCATCTAAACTCAGAATGAGTTTGACATCACAACACAGTTTATATTCTCTCAGGAAAAATGAAAGGAAACTAAAGGATTTTATTTTTCAGACATCAAATCACAAAACAAAACAGTCCAATTTTCTTTGGGTTCTCAGTTGTACATTTATGTCTTCAGGGTTTTAAAAAACCACACCGTTTTGCATGCTTAAAAATAAAAGATTCGGTTCAAGAGTTCATCTTTGTAACATCTTTTCAATTTTTCTTTAAATCTCTAGGTCTAAAACTTTGCTAAATAAAAAATATTTAGCGAGAAACAAGTTTACATGTGTTGCTTGCTGAAAGAAACTGCTAAAGGGAATGCATTAAGATATGGAACACAATTATGCAAAGTAAATACTCAGTTGAACATGCCAGATGTTTCCTAAATTTAAATTGTTAAATGGCCATCGTGGAAGAATCATTTTAGTTTTAAATTCTGTAATAAGCAAAATAACTTTCTTACATAGAAACATTTGTTCCTTTGTGTATGAACCAAATCAAATATCATATAAAAATTATACATAAGATATGAATCTGAATCATATATAATGTAGCTTATCCAAACATATTTTAGATGAAACTGTCAGTATTTTTTATATTATCAACATAGAACTGTTTTAAGATAAATCATTTATTCATTTTTCATCTCAATCAATATTTTTATAAGAGATGACATAAGTTAGATGATTCAGCTAATCTACACTGAAAGCAGTGGATAAGTCAATTACAATTTTTGCTCAAATATGGAAAAAATCTGACTGATTATAATCAAAATCATTAACTGTCATTTACTTTTCCTGAAAGCTCTTTATTTAATATAAAATCTAGACATAAAGAAACTAATTTATCCTCTTAAGTGCTATAAACATTTTCTCTCATTTCATTTTTTTTTTAGTTGTCAATTTTGATAGTGTTCAACTAGAAGTCACGAATAGGCAATCCACTAACATAGGTTCACAGTTCTCATATATTTTTGAAACATTGAAATCAACCTGTCCCCAACTCCACTCCAGAGGCTAATGTCAAAATACCTGCTGAAAGCAATGCCAAGCCAATATCTCTGAAATATAAAGTTGGCTATTATAATTCTCTTCATGATTATATTTTTATGTATATATGAGAGACAGAGCAAACATTATACATGAAAAATAATACATTTTACTTAAAAACATGTTAAGGTCTCTTGGGTGTGGTGGCTCATGCCTGTAATCCCAGCACTTTGGGAGGCCGAGGCAGATGGATCACGAGGTCAGGAGATCGAGACCATCCTGGCTAATATGGTGAAACCCTGTCTCTACTAAAAACACAAAAAAATTAGCCGAGAATGGTGGTGGACGCCTGTAGTCCCAGCTACTTGGGAGACTGAGGCAGGAGAATGGCATGAACCCAGGAGGCAGAGCTTGCAGTGAGCCGAGATCGTGCCACTGCACTCCAGCCTGGGCGACAGAGTGAGATGCCATCTCAAAACAAGCAAACAAATAAAACATGTTAAGGTCTATAAGGTCTACAACTTAGTCATTTCTTAACTATACGACCTTGGGTGGGCCACTTACTTAGTTTCTCATTACTTTGGTTTTCTTTCTTGAAAAGTGAAGAATTGTTTTCTTCACAGTTATAATTGTTTTCTGAAAATGTAAAACACTAGAAACATTGCCTGGCATTGAGTAAATTATTAGTTTTTATTATTAGTACTGATTCATATTTTTCCTACTTAAAATTAGATAATGACTCCTCATATTCTGCATGATTTTATAGGATATAAGTTTAAATACAAATCAAGACATATTTGAAATAATGTTCTATACATTCAACCTCAGATTTATTCGATGAAACCCCACATTTCTATTTGATAGCGTAGGTGACATCCACATCCTATTTTGCCTCATTATTGAACAGTGTCTTACCTAATTTTCTAGATGTCATAATTTATTTACTCTTGTCTCGTTTTCATGATGGTGTGTATACTGCATATTTTGAGACATAGTACATTTAATTGAGTTATTTTCTTGCTCAAAAAGAAAACTAGTTCCACCTCCATTGAATCTTCAGTTTAAACTTAGAATTTAAAATAAAAAAAACTGTTCTATGGCAATGATCATAAACTAGCAAATTGGTATCTCATGGGTTGGATTAAGGCTGGCTGACAGAATGACCTTGAAGGGCCATGTGTGTGCATGTTTACTCACCTTAAAATAAAAGAATTTTCTGTATGGGTTTATTTTACTAAGATTAGTGAGCCTTTTAAAAGAGTCAGGTGCTTCTGATAAATCATATATGTCCCTGCCCAGTCTCTCTGTACTCACAAATCAGTCTGAGTGATGTAATATCATTTGAAGGTAGACTGTGATAAGTTAAAGCTGCATATTATGAACTATGAAGTAACTACAAAAATAAAAAGAGTTACACCTAAAACCTAATAAAGAAAAAAAAGATCATAAAAATCAACATAAAGCAGAAAAAAAAATGCATCAGAAAAGCATATGATAAAATAGAAAATAGTGAGATGTTAGATTTAAAACCAACAATACAATAATTATTTTGGAAGAGTAGATGAAATATAAATTTGAGGCTACCAATTTTAAGTGGATTTTGAGGACAGTCACTGTATTCTTAAGAAAGTTCTATTAATTTTGCAAATACTTTGAGGGGTATAAAAATAGAGATATAATAAATTGTACACTAAAGACAATAAGTGATGATTAAGTACTTTAATTTATCACAGATGCTACGTATTTCCGAAATCCAGTAGAAATGTAATCAATTTGTTTGACAGAACTTCAGTCTTTCTATTAACAAGTCTTTCAGATCAAAATTAAAGAAAATCATATTGTATACTTGAGCGATGTCCTTTATAGAGTCTTCATCCTCAGTCATAGGCTCAATTGCATGTGTCTGGTAAGAATTATAAATAATAGGACAGTTATTTCAGTTAATATGTTCTGTTAATCTATTTCAATTCAGAAAAAAGCACCTATTTAGTTTTAGGATCTAATATATGTGAACAAATTTGGGAGGATTTCTTTAATAATCTATATGCATTCTTTGTTTTACATTCTTTCAAGCAAACATATGACATGGACAAATATGTGCAAACACAAAATCACTGCAGTATATTAGAGTGGAAATGCAATGGCAGCATTCTTTTTCAGTAAGTTCAGTAAAATATTTGAGTCATGCTGAGTACAAAATACTTTGTTAAGGCTAATTAGGTTGCAGATTATAAAATGCCCTAATAGTACCAATAAATTAGACTCACCTTTCTCAAAAGAAAGTGACTAATAATATTTTGTTGCTGAGTTAAACAGAATAAATGTCTAAGAACTTAGCCAGAAGGCTGATTTTAATTAGTTATTAAGGTGTTCAGGTTAATGTAAATCAGATTTGCCTTTCTAGATAAAGAATACAGATTGACAGTGGCATTAACATTGTCATTAAATCTTAAATAAACACTAATTTCCCAGTGCTTGCAAGAGTCTGACCTGGAAAAAGATGAAAAAAAGGAAATACTATAGAGTTTTTTGTTAATTATCAAGCTTTTCCTTTGTGTTTTGTTTATCAGATATATAACGTTTGAAACTGAAGCTGATAATCAAATGAAATAGTTTTTAAAAACTACTTGTTGGAGTCAAATGACTACTCTTGGCTTTTCTTTCTTTTTTTCCATTTCCATTTATAATAGCCAAAAAAAGTTTCTTGTCACTGTTTCTAAATAACACCATGACCTCCTGCTCACAAATTAAAATGTATTGCAATTCTCTAAATAAGAACAATCTACCCTTTCTAAAATTTCAAATTAAATGTGCTTTATTTTTAGTATAGTGACCTACCCTGCATGTATAAATTAAATGTAAGAAACATTTTATGTTTAGTAGGCTTGAAAATGAGACTATTTTTCCCTTATTTTTTCTCCTTAAAACTTATTAATTCCTTTTTATATTCTAGATCTATAAATACTAAAATATTCTATCTATTAACTGCTCTAATCTTTATGTAACAGTGTAGGTTCTACCCATGTAACAGATGAGGAAACCAAGGAGCACAGTTATTTACTAACTCGCACAAGGCAAGTTTCAAAATTGTCTTTGAAAATAATGATTGCTTTTAAGGTTTATTCTATAATGGTTTAAGATCATGGGTTACAGAAGTAGAACAACAGTGTCTAATTACTAGTTCTAATAATTCTTATCGGATTTGTTGAGATTTTATACACATACATGTTTGTTTTTGTGTATAAGTATATATGTAACAATGTATTACACATATGAATTAACTGTTTAATATGTGTGAACTATTATATTCATTACTTGGCATTAATGTTTAGGTTGTTTCGATTTTACCCTCAAAATGTAATGACTTTTTGAGAGCCTATATCAAATTATTGGAAATACAAATGTATTTTTAAAGGGATTAGGGATTCTTAGTATTTGAATATGAATTGTGAAGATTAGTATTGAAAAAACTCTTGGTAACTTAGCAGGAGTAGCTGCAAAGGTGTTCCTTCTTTTCCTAAATGAATTATAAAGTATAAGAGTATTAAAGTCTACTTGTTTTTACTGCTAAATATATATATATATATGTAGAATTTGAAGCTTTAGTTCATCTAACTACGATTCCTCTCTCAGAGCCTTTCCTGAGGAAATTTTTTTTTTGGTGGAGAGACTGAGAACACGAGGTGCACAGTGACCAGCTAAAGGGAGAATGAGGCAGTTCCAAAATGAATTATAAAGTATACGAGTATTAAAGTCTACTTGTTTTTTATTGCTAAAGTTGTGTATATGTGTGTGTATATATATATATATATATATATATATATATGTATGAAAATGTAGAATTTGAAGCTTTGGTTCATCTAACTGTGATTCCTCTACCAGAGCCTTTCCTGAGGAAATTTCTTACCCTGGGCCATCTGTCCTGTGTGTCTGTCCTCCTTGTGATCAGTTATTTGCACAGTGGCTCTGACCTGGCAGCCCACCTCTGGGTCCCCACTCCCCCAGAACTTCCCAGTCTGCCTTCTCCTGCCAGACACCCTGAGGCAGCTGTGTCCCCCAGACATAGCCTGGATGGGTATGCACCTGTCCCCACCACCGTCTGTCACCTCTGCTCCACACCTGACCAGTGGCCAGCACCACACTGGGGTTGACTGCCTTCACCGTGTCCATGCCTGCTCCGGCAGTGGGAGCTCAGTGCCAGGCTGTGGGGGGCATCTTGGAAAGCAGAGGTGTCCCTGCAGGATCTCTATGAGACTGTGTTGTCGGTGGCCGCGCTGGTTTCCCCGGAGTAGCGCCCGATGTCACTGCCGAGACCTTAACGGAAGGTGCGCGTCCAGTCCTCGCACTGCTGTGTGTTCTGGTCAGAATGGAAGTGGTGGCCTCCACTAGGAGCTTCTGTGCTTTGGGAGAATTTGTCCAAACCGTGGTCCCGTTTGTTCTCCAATCCTGTGTAGACACCATGACCCAGTTGTGTAAACACAGGCCCCTTGCAGCTCAGAGGCTGCCCTCTGAGAGTCACCGTCGTGTCGCTTTGGGGAAAAGATGAGCCCGCCCGGTTCCTCTCTGTGCACCTCATGCCTGGGGCTCCGTCCCGTCCTGGGTGGGTTTTCACCTGCACCGCTGGCCCCTCCCCCGGGAGCGTTGGTGGAGCCGGCTTTCTCAGCCAGGAGCCTGTTGCGGGGTCAGCGGCTGGAGCTCAAGGTCTGCTCAGGGGACTTTCTCGTGCTGGAGGTTGGCTGCGGAGCAGCCTGCATTTCTCGGAAAACAGGGCCCAGGGCCTGCTCCACGCCGCTGTCCACGTCTTCACCATCCCCTCGTTGCAGGTTCGAGGCCGAGCTCAGACCTGTGGAGCAGAAGCTGAGTGCGCTGCAGTCCCCGCTGGCCCAGAGGCCCTTCTTCGAGGTGCCCTCACCCCTGGGCGCCGTGGACCTGTACGAGTATGCATGCGGGGATGAGGACCTGGAGCCACTGTGACGCCACCCATGAGAACGCCGCTGCGGGGCCGCTCCACACGTGCCACGGCCACCACTGGGACACCGCCGCTTGTGTAAAAACTGTTGTCTTTTGTGGAAAATGAGTGTGTTTGCATGGAATGATAAATTTTTATTTATTCACAGAAGCGTGTTGATTGCCGCTGTGGGTTCGTGGCTGGACCTGCCTAGAGCTCTGTGCCCGGGGGACATGTAGGGCCGCTCGTGAACAGGACAGGTTCTGACACTGTTCTGACTGACACCCTCCGGCACTTGCCATTCCCGACTTGACTCGGCCTCAGTTCCAGGGCCTGCATCTTTCTGGAAAGGGTCTGTGTAGGCACAAGGGTGACCGGCGGCTCCCGGGCGCCTTGCCAGTCCTAGACAGGAGCCTCCGCCATGGCCTGTATGAATGTTTTGTGTAAATGTACAAAAGCGTTTCTGGCGATCACACTTGTATTTTTGAATGAATGTTTGGAGGATTTTTCAGTCACGGGCTTGGCTCCCTCAGCCACAGCATGGCTCCTTTCAGAATTTACAAACGTCGGCGCTGGAGGGGGACCGCGGCCACGCCAGATGCATCGGGATACAGTCTGGGCCTCTCTGCGGGGCCTCCTCCCCAGCCAGGGGTCCCCACCCTTGGGCTGTTCCCTCCCAGAGCCATGGACCCAGGCCACATTCCACAAACGACCCCAGAAGGAAGGAGCCCTCGCCAGAGTGGGGACGTCCACACCTGGGAGCCACGTGCAGCGACACCTAAATGAGGGGGTTCGGAGGCCCCGCCAGGAGGAGCCCTGTGTGCAGGGGAGGCCACGAGCCCCCAGGTCCCCCAGGGGCACCCGACATGGATAAGCCCAGGCCCAGCTCTGTTCCCTCTGCAAGCAGGGGAGGGTCACAGGTGGTGACCATGGGAATGACCCCGTCCTCACACAAGACAAAATGCTCCCCCAGGAAAGGGAGGTGGCAGCATCTACAGGGCAGGGCACAGGCGGGCAGGGCGGCCCTGGGCACTTGGTGGGGAGGGCAGGGCCGGGCCGGGCCGGGACCACCCCAAGAGCAGCACACACGCCCCGTTAATCTACTGGCAGCTGTGGCTGTGAAGGAGGTGGATGCACAGGGTGGTCCCATGACCCCTGAGGAGAGACGGTGCGGGCTCCAGGCAG
This sequence comes from Homo sapiens, assembly GCF_000001405.40. Lineage (NCBI taxonomy): Eukaryota > Metazoa > Chordata > Mammalia > Primates > Hominidae > Homo > Homo sapiens. The sequence continues at coordinate 229,271 of NT_187383.1, forward strand.
TGGGTAGACTGGCCGCACCTCCCAGGGAAATGGCTGCTGCCCCCAAGGTGTCCTCTGTCACCAGGTGCTCCCCTGAATTCCCGGATGCCCCCACCTGGGTCTGCGAAGGGTCAGGGTCCCCAACAACAGGACAGGTGCAGGGCCGGAGAGTCTGACTGTGGCTGCTGCAGGGAAGTGACACTGGGAGCCACAGCCTGCAGGCCCCACCCTGCCCCAAGCTCCGGGGAGCCCATCTGGGAGAGCATGTCTGCCCCACACCACCTCAGGACACCCCTCACACACACCTATGAGCTGGAGCCCATGGTCATGGGAGTGAGGGGCCAGAAGTGAGGGGTTCACCTCTGACTGGGACCCTCAGCTTCCCACACTGACACTAGGAGCCCCCCAATTAGGGTTCAAGGCTGAGACATCAGAAGCCTCCCTGGGGCTGTGAAACGAAAGACAGCGTCCCCCACCCACATCCCTGGTGAGGCTCCTGCACAGCCTGAGTGTCCTCCGACATCCCCATACCCACTGCATTCCCCAAGCACCCCGTCCTTCCCTAGCCACGGCCCCAGATGCTCTGGGCTGTGCCAGGGCCGGGCATGCACACCCACACCTTTGCTGGAGAAGTGGGGGGTCCTCGTGGACGGCAGCACTGCGGTGAGACCCAGAGCCCAGCGGTCCTGCCCTCCACGAGTTCTGGGGGTCCATTTCCCTGAGAGCTCACGTGTGAGGTGGGCCAGGGACCCCACAAGAAAAGCACCTGCATCACCCTCACCGTGGCCAGCGTCCAGCATCCTGCTAGGACAGAAGCCAGGGTGTTCCAGGCAGAGGCGCCTCTGGCATCCCCACCTCACCCTCTGTGAATGACAATCTTGGGTCCCTGGCATTTCGTGGCCATCACCCCTTGGCGATCCCCATGCAGGGACCCAGCCCACCCCACCCCTCCCTCACATGGTCCCTTCATGTCAGACCCAAGAGTGTTCACGGGGGCAGCCCCAGGTTCACCCAGAAGCAGCAGGAGCTCTGTTGCAGGATGACCATGAAAGGTGACAGCCACTCCACAGCAACGATGCCAGCCATGGCCCTGAGGTCCCCGGGCACCTCCTTGTGGGACAGGACACAGCTCCTCAAGGTGCAGCAGGGGTGACGGGCACCACAGGCTCCCAGCACTGGCACCAGACCGGCATCCAGAGCGCTGTCCTGAGGGGCGGCAGGGATGGGCATGGCAAGACGGGCTTCCCAGAATGAGGGGACCCAGCCTGGGTGGGGGATGGGGCTTGGACAGCCATGAGACGGGAGACACAGAGGAGATGGAGAAGGGGGAAATGGGGGAGAACTGGGGGGCATCAGATACAGGAATGAGGCAGAGCCGGACCCAGCCATGGCTTGCAGCCCTGAGGTCCCGGGGCACCTCCTCGTGGGACAGGACACAGCTCCTCAAGGTGGAGCAGGGGTGACGGGCACCACAGGCTCCCAGCACTGGCACCAGACCGGCACCCAGAGCCCTGCCCAGAACAAGGGGGGACCGAGCCTGCGGAGGGATGGAGCCTAGACAGCCATGACATGGAGAAGGGGGAGTTGGAGGAAATGGAGACGGGCAAGACGGAGGGGACGGGGGAGATGGAGGAGATGGAGGAGAAGGGGGAGATAGAGAATGGGGGAGTTGGGGAAGAACTGGTGGGCATCAGATGCAGGAATGAGGCAGACCGGACCCAGCCATGCCCAGCAGTTCCTAGAGGAGACACGGCTCCCAGGTGGGACTGGGAGGCCTTTATGACTCAGAGCCAGGGAAGGAACAGAGGCTGGAGGTCGTCACCAGCACAATGCCCACTGGCCGCCTTGCTCAGGCCAAGGGGTTGGACCCCACATGGCACAGGAGCCCCATCTGCTGCAACCCTAAGATGCACATCCTGTGGCTGAAAGAGATGCGGCCCCTGGGGCGGCGCAGACCCCACGTGGCACAAACGACCCGGCTGAGTTTAAAGCCTGCAGACAAGACCACTCACGCAGCAACACACTGCTGTGTGGCTACAGGAGGGGCCTCGAACCATGTTCCCCATGACCCACAGGCAGACCCTGGGAGGGCAGGGATGCCCCCTGTCGCACCAACCTCTGTAGAAGTCACAGCCCCAGCCTCGGCTGCCGCACACGCCAAGCCAAGCCAAGCCAAACAAGCCAGCCAGCCAGCCAAGCCAGCTAGGCCGGCCCAGCCAGCCAAGCCAGCCAAGCCACCCAGCCGGCCAAGCCATCCAAGCCAGCCAACCAACCCAGCCAGGCAAGCCAGCCAAGCCACCCAGTCAAAGCCAGCCAGCCAGCCAAGCCAGATAAGCCAGCCAGCCAGCCAAGCCAGCCAAGCGACCCAGCCAGCCAAGCCACCCAGCCAAGCAAGCCAAGACAGCCAGCCAGCCAGACAAGCCAGCCAGCCAGCCAAGACAGCCAAGACAGCCAAGCCACACAGTCAGCCAAGCCAGCCAGCCAGGCAGACAAGCCAGCCAGCCAAACCAGCCAGGCAGCCAAGCCGGCCAAGCCAGCCAAGCCAGCCAGCCAGGCAAGCCAGCCAAGCCAGCCAAGCCAGCCAGCAAAGCCACCCAAGCGAGCCAAGCCACCCAAGCCGCCAAGCCAGCCAAGCCACATAGCCAGCCAAGCCATCCAAGCCATCCAAGCCACCCAAGCCACCCAAGCCACGCAGCCAGCCAAGCCAGCCAAGCCACCCAGCCAGACAAGCCAGCCAGCCAACCAGCCAGCGAAGCCAGCCAGCCAGCCAAGCCACCCAGGCAGCCCAGCCAGCCAAGCCACAGAGCCACCCAAGCCAGCCAAGCCACCCAGCGAGCCAAGCCAGCCAAGCCAGCACAGCCGGCCAAGCCAGCCAAGCCATCCAAGCCAGACAAGCCACCCAGCCAGCCAAGCCAGCCAAGCCACCCAGCCAAAGCCAGCCAGGCAGTCAAGCCAGCCAGTCAGCCAAGACAGCCAAGCCAGCCAGGCAGCCAGCCAAGCCAGCCAAGCCAGCCAGCCAAGCCAGCCAAGCCAGCCAGCCAGCCAAGCCAGCCAAGCCAGCTAGCCAGCCAAGCCTGCCAGCCAGCCAAGCCAGCCAAGCCACCCAGCCAAAGCCAGCCAGCCAGCCAAGCCAGCCAGACAGCCAGGCAAACCAAGCCACCCAGCCAGCCAGGCCAGCCAAGCCAGCCAAGCCACCCAGCCAGCCAAGGCAGCCAAGCCTCCCAGCCAAAGCCAGCCGGCGATCCAAGCCAGCCTAGCCAGCCAGCCAGCCATGCCAGCCAAGCCAGCCAGCCAGTCAAGCCAGCCAAGAAATCCAGCCGGCCAAGGCAGCCAAGCCACCCAGCCGGACAAGCTAGCCAAGTCAGCCAAGACACCCAGCCGGCCAAGCCAGCCAAGCCACCCAGCCCGCCAAGCCAGCCAAACCACCCAGCCAAAGCCAGCCAGCCAAGCCAGCCAAGCCAGCCAGGCAGCCAAGCCGGCCAAGCCAGCCAGCCAGGCAAGCCAGCCAAGCCAGCCAAGCCAGCCAGCAAAGCCAACCAAGCGAGCCAAGCCACCCAAGCCGCCAAGCCAGCCAGCCAAGCCACCCAGGCAGCCCAGCCAGCCAAGCCACAGCAGCCAGCCAAGCCAGCCAAGCCACCCAGCCAGCCAAGCCAGCCAAGCCACCCAGCCACAGCCAGCCATCCAGCCAAGCCAGCCAACCAGCCAAGCCAGCCAAGCCAGCCAGGCAGCCAGCCAAGCCAGCCAGCCAGCCAAGCCAGCCAAGCCACACAGCCAACCAAGCCAGCCAAGCCAGCCAGCCAGCCAGCCAGCCAAGCCAGCCAAGCCACACAGCCAACCAAGCCAGCCAAGCCAGCCAGCCAGCCAAGCCTGCCAGCCAACCAAGCCAGCCAAGCCACCCAGCCAAAGCCAGCCAGCCAGCCAAGCCAGCCAAGCCACACAGCCAACCAAGCCAGCCAAGCCAGCCAGCCAGCCAAGCCTGCCAGCCAACCAAGCCAGCCAAGCCAGCCAAGCCACCCAGCCAAAACCAGCCAGCCAGCCATGCCAGCCAGCCAGCCAGGCCATAATTTCATCATTCCACTTCATCATTCCACTTCATCATTTCATTTCATTTCATTTCATCATTTCATTTCATTTCATCCTTTCATTTCATCTCATCATTTCATCCTTTCATTTCATCATTTCATCTCATCATTTCATCTCATCATTTCACTTCATCTCATCATTTCATCATTTTATCTCATGATTTCATTTCATCTCATGATTTCATTTCATCTCATCATTTCATCTTTTCATCTCATCATTTCATTTAATCATTTTATTTCATTTTATCTTTTCATCTCATCATTTCATCATTTCATTTCATCGATTCATCATTTCATCATTTCATTTCATTATTTCATCATTTCATCATTTCACTTCATCTCATCATTTCATTTTATATCATTTCATTTCATCATTTCATCTTTTCATCATTTCATTTCATTTCATGATTTCACTTCATTTCTTCATTTCATTTCCTCATTTCATTGCACCATTTCATCACTTCATCATTTCATCATTTCATTTCATCATTCCATTTCATCATTTCATCATTTCATTTCATCTCATCATTTCATCATTTCATTTCCTCATTTCACCATTACATTTCATCTCATCATTTTATTTTATCATTTCATTTCATCATTTCATTTATTCATTTCTTCATTTCGTTTCATCATTTCATCATTTCCTTTCATTTCATCATTTCATCTCATCATTTCATCTCATCATTTCATCTCATCATTTCATCTCATCATTTCATCTCATTTCATTTCATTCATTTCATCATTTCATCTCATGATTTCATTTCATCTCATCATTTCACTTCATCTCATCATTACACCATTTCATCTCATGATTTCATCTAGTCATTTCATTTCATCTCATCATTTCATTTCATCTTTTCATCTCTTCATTTCATTTCACCGTTTCATCTTTTCATCTCGTCATTTCACTTCATTTCATCATTTCATCAATTCATCATTTCATCATTTCATTTCATTATTTCATCATTTCACTTCATTTCATCATTTCATATAATTTCATCATTTCATTTTATCATTTCTTTTAATTTCATTTCATCATTTCACTTTATTTCATCATTTCATATCATTTCATTTCATCATTTCATCTTTTCATGTCATTTCATCATTTCATCATTTCATTTCATTCATTTCATCATTGCATTTCATCATTTCATCATTTCATCTCATGATTTCATTTCATCTCATCATTTCACTTCATCTCATCATTTCATCTCATGATTTCATCTCATCATTTCATTACATCCCATCATTTCATGTTTTCATCTCGTCATTTCATCATTTCATTTCATTTTGTCTTTTCATCTCGTCATTTCATTTCATCATCATTTCAGTTCATTTATTTCATCATTTCATTTCATCATTTAATTTCATCATTTCACTTCATTTCATCATTTCATTTCATTTCATATCATTTCATCATTTCCTCTTTTAATTTCATTTCATAATTTCATCATTCCACTTCATCATTTCGTTTCATCATTTCATTTCCTCATTTCATCATTTCATTTCATCCTTTCATTTCATCTCATCATTTCATCCTTTCATTTCATTCTTTCATTTCATTATTTCATCTCATCATTTCATCTCATCATTTCATCATTTCACTTCATCTCATCATTTCATCATTTTATCTCATGATTTCATCTCATCATTTCATTTCATATCATTTCATTTCATCTTTTCATCTCGTCATTTCACTTAATCATTTTATTTCATTTTATCTTTTCATCTCATCATTTCATTTCATCATTTCATCATTTCATTTCACTTCATTTCATTTCATCATTTCGTATCATTTCTTCATTTCATCTTTTCATTTCATTTCATCATTTCATCATTTCATTTCATTTCATCATTTCACTTCATCATTTCATTTCTTCATTTCATTTCCTCATTTCATTGCACCATTTCATCACTTCATCATTTCATCATTTCATCATTCCATTTCATCATTTCATCATTTCATTTCATTTCATCTCATCATTTCATTTCATTTCCTCATTTCACCATTACATTTCATCTCATTTCATCATTTTATCATTTCCTTTCATCATTTCATTTCTTCATTTCATTTTGTTTCATCATTTCATCATTTCCTTTCATTTCATCATTTCATCTCATCATTTCATCTCATCATTTCATCTCATTTCATTTCATTCATTTCATCATTTCATCATTTCATCTCATGATTTCATTTCATCTCATCATTTCACTTCATCTCATCATTACACCATTTCATCTCATGATTTCATCTAGTCATTTCATTTCATCTCATCATTTCATCTTTTCATCTCGTCATTTCATTTCATCATTTCATTTCATCTTTTCATCTCGTCATTTCATTTCATTTCATTTTATCAATTCATCAATTTATCATTTCATTTCATTTCATTATTTCATCATTTCATCATTTCATCATTTCACTTCATCATTTCATTATTTCATATAATTTCATCATTTCATTTTATCATTTCTTTTAATTTCATTTCATCATTTCATCATTTCACTTTATTTCATCATTTCATATCATTTCATCATTTCATTTCATCATTTCATCTTTTCATTTAGTTTCATTATTTCATCATTTCACTTCATCATTTCATTTCATTTCCTCATTTCATCATTTCATTTCATTTCCTTTCATCATTTCATCTCATCATTTCATCCTTTCATTATTTCATTTCATCATTTCATGTCATCATTTCACTTCATCATTTCATCATTTCATTTCATCATTTCACTTCATCTCCTCACTTCATCATTTCATCTCATCATTTCATCTCATCATTTCGTTTCATCTTTCCATCTCATCATTTCATTTAATCATTTCATTTCATCTTTTCATCTCATCATTTCATTTCATTTCATCATTTCATTTCATCAATTCATCATTTCATTTCATTTTATTATTTCATCATTTCATCATTTCACTTCATTTCCTCATTTCATTTCATCATTTCATATTTCTTCATCATTTCATCTTTTCATTTCATCATTTTATCATTTCATTTCATTTCATCATTTCACTTCGTCATTTCATTTCATTTCCTCATCTCATTTCACCATTTCATCATTTCATCATTCCATTTCATCATTTCATCATTTCATTTCATCATTTCATCATTTCATCATTTCATTTCATCATTTCATCATTTAATTTCATCATTTCACCATTTCACTTCATCTCATCATTTCATCATTTTATCATTTCATTTCATCAGTTCATTCCTTCATTTCATCATTTCCTTTCATTTCATTATTTCATTTCACCATTTCATCATTTCATTTCATTTCAGTGATACATATATTTAAGTGCTAATGTGATGCCCAGGAGACATCCTACTTCCCTTTGTAAAATACCTCCTTCAACAAAAGGCAACCTCTCATGGCTGGCTAAGTCTACAGGGATACCAGGCTCTCCTCAACCACCCAATTTGATTTAGAACCTCAAACAGCACCTCAGTTTCATGAAAACCTAACACATAAACACAACACTTGGTTGTAAGTGAGCCAACAGCTTCTTGTCTCTTTCTCTGCTCAAGGCTTAAGGCCGTGTCTCCCCAACTACGTTCAGTGGAAGAAAAGATCCCCTGGACAAATAAGTTTGAGGACTGTCATTGCAGGACTTCTCAGAACCTTTAAAACACAAATCCTCATCCGCAGGGATCTTCAGGAGGGAGACGGCTGATGCAGCACAACTTTCTTTCACAGGAGCATCTTGCAGAATACAGTATGAGATACAGAAAGGCTGCACTGAGTCTTTTTAAGGGTCTGGGCCTTGGTGGGGGTGGGGTAGGAGCTCTCCAGATAGCATCTAATGAGTAGGAACATTCAGGTTGCTTTTTTTTTCCCTTATTGGCAAAACTGTGTGTGCACCATGAATGAAGCTGGTCTCCCTTATCCACATCAAAACTAAACCCAAATTAATTGGCTAAATTGGGACTCAACACCACCAGGAGCCACGTGGAAGACAGCCCTACCACACTTTAAAGTAGCTTACCTCATCATGTTTGAGGAAAGCAAAACGCTTATGACCAGTATGCTGCTAATACAAGTCTACAGATAATGCTGTAGGAAAAATTATTTTTCCCAATCATAGCTGGCATAGTCCACATTTTGCATTACAATTTCCCCTTTTTTAAAATTTAAACACAGGTCTTTTTCTCTTCTTTTTAAACATTTTAATTTAATTTTACAAGACGGAGTCTCAGTATGTTGCCCAGGCTGGTCTTCAACTCCTGAGCTCAAGTGATACATCCCTCTCTGCCTCCCAAAGTGCTGGGATTACAGGCCTGAGACACTGTGCCCGGCCTTCAACATAAAGTTTAATTCATTCTTACAATTATCCTGAAGTTAGAAAAATGGAAGGGGAAGAAAAATGGCAAGCAGGTAGGCTGACTTCGACTTCATTATTTGGAAGGACAGTTTGCTCGGTTAAAACACTCTACTGCCCAAAAGGCCAAGACAACAGAAAAATACAGACTTACATAAATAGATTTTATATGTGACAGCAGTTTGAATGGAGACTTTTTCAATGCAAATGACAAACAGCTGTGCTTGGGAATAAATGACAAAGAATTTTTTATCTCAACAGCTGTCCTGAGAGCACGTCTCTACATCTATACCTGCATTCTGGAATCAGGGAGAAAGCCAAAACGGATGACAAGACACTAGGTCAGCCGCGTCCAACCCTTTGACTACAAGGACTTTTCCACCTATCTGTGGTGGTGGGTATCATGAAAATTATGCACAAACCTTTTTTTTTTTTAAGCTCATCAGCTATCGTTAGCATTAGTGTATTTTATATGTGGCCCAGGAGCATTCTTCTTCCAATGTGACCCTGAGAAGCCAAAAGACACCTGTGCACTAGATCAAAAGGCTACTCCTTCTGGAAGCAATTGTAAAGAATTTCTGACATTATCTTCACATGACAACCAATGGGTAGTGGGACAGAATGCAAAAATCTTCAAGTATTTTTCTTGTTGGTTTTTTTTTTTTTTTTTTTGAGTCAGGGTCTTGCTCTGTGGCCCAGGCTGGAGTACACTGCTGAGATCACAGCTCAGTGCAGGCTCAAGTGCTCCTCCCACCTCAGCCACAGTAGTAGCTGGGACTACAGATGTGCACAACCACCACTGGCTAATATTTTATTTTTTGTAGAGACAGGGTCTCACTATATTGTCCAGGTTAGTCTCAAACTCCTTGACTCAAGGGATCCAGGACAGGATAACAGGTGTGAGCCACCACATCTGGCCATGTGCATGAACTTTTAAGACAAACACAAGGCCCCACAAAAGTTAAAGTTTTCCCACCTAATTTCCAGGGGATCTTTTGGTGCAAGGATGAGAAGCCCTTAAAAGTACCCAGACAACTCCAAAGATTCAAGACAGTTCATTGGGGCTGAGCCAGCCCACTGGGCAGACTGACCTTCAAAAAAGGCCCACCCATGATATACACCAGATGGCTCTCCAAGAATCTCTCCAGTCCTCAGGGTCCCTAAGGTACTGGACAGAGCTAGGAAAGCAAACCCATGTGCTTCTTCCTTCAGGCAACCCCTTGAGGTCAAGACCCCACAATCAGATGAGGATGGAGTGGCTCACCCTCAGTCAACAGGCCAGACTCAAGGTGGTATTATGTCTTAACCAAGGGTGTGGGCCTCCAGGTCTCACTCCCAACTCAGTGCTCCTTTAATAACCACACTTTGTTAATTCTCCTTAACAGGGGTTCCAGGCAAGTCAGTTCTCCCTCAGGCCTTCGGTTTCCTCACCCACAAGATGAGAGGGCTGGACCAGATGGAAATTCAGGGGGTAAGGGGATGTCCGCTCGCAGCCCACCTCGCCCATGGGCCCCTCAAGCCTCCCTGCCAGTTCCCACGACGCACCCGCCCCACAGATCCTGCCCAAGGTGAGGGCTGGTCCCGGGTCCTCCGGCTGCCGCATCAGCGAGTGCAGGAGGGAGGGGAAGCCTCCAACGGGGCGACTCGGGCTCAAGGATGCAACTCGGCCAGGAGTGAACTCGGGCACGGAGGGAGGTGTCTGGGCCGCTCCTCGAGCCCAGCCTGGGTCCACGACCCCCTTACCTCCAGGGTCCGTATCTCCTGCTGGGTGAGGTCCTTGGACACAGCGCACTTGTTGCGCAACCGGCTCAGGCTGCCAATGGAGATGCGGATAAGCTTCTGGAGCTGCCCACAAGCTTCTGGAGCTGCCCACACTGCTGCAGCGTCTGGCTGGCTGCGGCCCCTGCGCCTCCCAAAGAGGCCGCCGCATCACCCCCGCCACCGCCCTCCTTCTTCTCTCCCCTGGCCGCTACGCGCAGCGCCGCTCTATGCAGGCCGCAGCGGCCAAGGCGGGGAGCTCGGGGCGCGGGCGCCTAGGCAAGGAACCCCCGAGCCGGGAGAGCTGGACCAGGAGCGCCCCTCGGCTCCGCCCGAACAAGGACGCCGGTAGAGCCGGCAGCCGAGTGTGCCGCTCCCGCCCTCAGAGCCGCGTCGGTGGTGGCAAAAAGCGGCGGCGGTGGGGGCAAAAAGCTGGGGCGGCGGGGACAAAAAGCCTCGGTGGCGGGGGTAAAAAGCCACGGCGGCAAAAACCGGCGGCGGCGGGGGCAAAATGCCGCAGGGGCAAAAAGCCGCAAAAAGCCGCGGCGGCGGGGGCAAGAAGCCGCGGTGGCGGGAGCAAAAAACTGCGGCGGCAAAAAGGGGCGGCGGCGGGGGCAAAAAGCCGCAAAAAGCCTCGGCGTAGGGGGCAAAAAGCCGTGGCGTCGGGGGCAAGAATCCGCGGCGGCGGGGGCAAAAAAAATATATATATAATTATATTATAAATATATATATTTCTATATAAAATATTATAAATATATATTATATTTATATATAATTATATATATTTATAATATAAAATATATTTATATATTATATATATTAATTATATATATATTATAAATATATGTAATAAATCTTGATTCTAAGAATGTTTTCATTATTATCACTAAAACTTATGATAAATGTTTTATTCATTCGTTTGTGACTATATTGCATGATAAAAATTTAAAGATTTATTATGTTTGAATCAAACCCCACGATTTGTGTCATTTCCCCCTGTAATGTGGAAGTCTGAGTTTTTAGTTCACAAATTTGGCAGAACAATAAACAGAGCGGCACAGCTCAAAGCACTAACTCCTCCGGAAGCAGCAGGTCAAAGTACATGCCAGACATTAAGCAGCAGAGCAACTTAGCAAGAGAAGACAGATCCTCAGGTTGGTGGGCAATGTCTGAACAGTCTGCTCATGGCACCAATTGTTAGTCACTTGCAAAGATGTGGCTTTAAGAGGGTAAGAAATTACTACTCACATAAATTACATTTGTGAGGTAAGTAGGAAGGCCTTTCAAGGTGATCTGACATGGCTTGAATGTGCAAGAAAAGGAGCCAGGCCTGGATTTTTATTGAGGGTAGGTGGCATGCTAGGGTGAGAATTTATTCCCATGGACAGGGGTTTGAATGGTTTCAATCTGCTGCTGGTACCAGAAAAGGGACCACCCAGGTTTCCTCTTACTGTATTATTTTATACACACACACACACACACACACACACACACACACACACACACACACACACACGGTTTAGGATTAAAAATAGAGACAACCATCAAAAAATGAAGATAGTTCCTTTTGGTCAGCCTGGCAAGTAAGGACGTAGAAGGTGACATTCGCATCAGCGAAAGTAAAAAGGGAAACATAGGCCAGCAATTCTCCTAACATCTATCAGAAAAATAAGTTCACAGGGCAAATCACCATCCCAAATTGGACAGAAGGACACACACATCCAGAGAATTATAACTTACTTGGTTAGTAAACCACAAGAAACCCCTATGGGAACAAATACAGTTGTAAGAAAACAAACCATTATTGATGAATGGCTAAAAGTTTGAGAATTAACATTTTCAGGGTATACAAATTTATGAACTTTACTTTCAGAAACATGACATGGCTTTTACAGGGAAGATGATAGAAAAAATGCTTCTTGATTCCAGTAGGAGGAAGGGAAATGTAGCCATTTTTAACTATTCCCAGAAAATTTTCTTTTTAACATTCCTATCTTCAATATAAACTATGTATCAAAAGCCTAACCAACTGAGATTTTACCAGAGCCAGACTTCCTGGAGTAAGAGAAATGCCCAATTCCATCCCCCTCTAACCTTCTTGATCCAGTTAAGAGAGGTAAAGAGTGAGAAGTCCTCATGAAATTCACAGCCTAGGGATACACTGTTTTGTTTTGATTTGTTTTAATGAGGCTAATGCATAAGTCAATAGAGTGCTTTGCCTAAGCTCTCACATAACCACTACATCAACAGCAGAATAAATACATGGTAGCAGAATACAACTGAAAGAACTGTATGCCTCAGATCTTGTTAAATAAGTCTCTAAGAGACCACAAGGAAATTGAATAATGTTGATAAAGTCGACACATGTATATGTAGAAATACACAATGTACTGACACTGAGTCATGAACAAATAGAAAATCTGAACAGACCTATAGTTGCAGATTGATGCAAAAATCACCCCTCCAGAAAAAAAAGTACAAAACTGTTATGCTGCTGAATCTATCAAACATTTTAAGAATTAATTACCAATTATCCTCAAACTCTTGCAAAAACCTGAAGATGCAGAAACACTTCCAAATTTATTCTATGAGGTAGGCCAAAATTACAGTGACATAAAAAATGAACAAAAGCACTACAAGAAAAGAAAGTTGAAGAAAAATGTTCTTTATAAATAATATAAAATCTATAAAATAAATATTAGCAAAATATATTTAGCAGAATAATAAGAGGGTTATCTACCAAGACTAATTGAGAGTTATTACTGAAGTGCAAAGATGCTTTAACATATAAATATCAATAAATGTAGCCAGGCACAGTGGCTTGTGCCTGTAATCCCAGTTACCCAGGATGCTAAGGTGATAGGTTCACTTCAGTCCAGGAGTTCAAGAGCAGTCTAAACAACATCATAATATCCTGTCTCTAAAAATAAATAAATAATAAATAAATAAACAAATAATCATAATATACCGCATTAGTACTGTTAAACACCACAATATCTCAATTTACACAGAAAAAGCATTCTACAAGATATTACTCATTCATGGTACAAACACACAACATAATCAACAGTGAAATACAAAAAATGTTTTCCCTTAATATCAGGAACTAAAAATAGTTCCTCTTTTTTACCACTTCCACTCAACAGAGTATATAAAACTTTAGCTTAAGCAATAACAAAAATAAAATAAAGACAAAAATGCATATGTTAAAAAGAATAAAATAGAAATATCTCTGTTCACAGTAATCATGTATGCACACAATTCTGAAGATTGTACAAACAGAAAAACACCTCAAAACAGTTTAAACAAATTAAGTAATGTTGCAGGATACAAAATTAACTTACAAAACTCAGTTGCATTGATGCACACCAATAATGATTAATCTGAAAAGGAAATTAAGAAAACAATACCATGAACAACAGTATTAAAAAGAATAAAATGCTCTGGAATCAATTTAACCAGGATGACAAACTATTTGTACAATAAAAACTTTCAAAATGCTGCTGTAAGAAATCAAAGGTACAAATAAATGGAACAGTATCTTCTGTTCATAGGTGAAAAGACTTTTTAAAAAATTTCAACTTTTATTTTAGATTCAGGGGTTACAGGCACAGATTTGTTATGTAGGAATATTGTATAATGCTCAGGTTTGGAGCACATAGGTAGTGAGCACAGCAACCAATATGTAGTATATTAACTTGCCCTCCCCTCTGCACACTTTAGTAGTCCACCGTGTTTACTGTTCCCATATTTATGTCCATATATGCTCAATGTTTAGCTCTTATAAGTAAGAACATGCAGTATTTGGCTTTCTGTTTCTGCATTAATTTGCTTGAAATTATGGCCTCTGGTTCCACCTATGTTCATACCAAGGACATGATTTCATTATATTTCACAGCTGTGTAGTATTCCATGGTGTATACATACCAGGTTTTCTTTATCCAATATACCATTGATGGGCATCTGGATTGATCCCACATCTTTGCTATTGTGAATAGCACAGTGATGCATTCAAGTGCATATGTCTTTTTGGTAGAATGATTTATTTTCTTTTGGGTATATACCCAGTTGTAGGATTGCTGGGTAAATTGGTAGTTCTGTTTTAAGTTCTTTCAGAAATCTCGAGACTGCTCTCCACGATTGCTGAACTAATTTACAATCCTGCCAGTGACGTAAAGTGTTTCCTTTTCTGCACAGCCTTGCCAACATGTTATTTATTGACTTTTTAGTAATAGCCATTCTGACTAACATGAGATGGTACCTCATTGTGGTTCTGATTTGCATTTATCTGATAATTACTGATGCTGAGCAATTTTTCATGTTTGTTGGCCACTTGTATATCTTCTGTTCAGGCATATCTGTTCATCTCATTTGCCCATTTTTTATTTTTTAATGGTTTTTTTTTTTTGGCTTGTTGATTTGAGTTCCCTATGGAGTCTGGATATTAGGCTTTTGTTAGACTCATAGTTTGTGAATATCTCCTCCCATTCTGGAGGATGCCTCTTTCCCCTGTTGATAGTTTATTTTGCTGTGCAGAAGCTATTTAGTCAAATTAAGTCCTACTTGTCTATTTTTGTTTTGGTTGCAATTGCTTTTGGGGACTTAGCCAAAAACGACTTGCCAAGGCTGATGTCAAAAAAATATTTCCTAGGTTATCTTCCAGAATTTTTATAGTTTGAGGTCTTACACTTAAATTTTTAATCCATTTAAATTTAATTTTGGGGCATGTTGCAAGGTAAAGGTCTAGGTTCAATCTTCTGCCTATGGCAAGCCAGTTATCCCAGAATGTATTGACTAGGGAGTCCTTTCCCCATTGCTTGTTCTTGCCAGCCTTGTCAAATATCATATGGTTGTAGGTGTGTGACTTTCAGCAGTGTTTTGTAGTTCTCCTTGAAGAGATCTTTCATTTCCTTGGTTATCTGTATTCCTAGGTATTTCTCTTTTTTGTGGCTATTTTAAGTGGAATTGTGTTCTTGATTTCACTCTTGGCCTGGACATTGTTGGTGTATGGAAATGCTACTTATTTCACCATAATCAGTACTGTTTACACTGATTTTGTATCCTGAGACTATACTAAAGTTATTAATTCTAGGAGCCTTCTGGCAGAATCTCTAGGATTTTCTAGGCATAGGATCATATTTTCAGCGAAGAGAGATAGTTTGACTTCTTTTCCTGTTTCGTTACTTTTTCTTTCTCTTGCCTGATTGCTCTGCATAGGACTTCCAGTACTAAGCTGAATAGGAGTGCTGTGAGTGAGCATCCTTGTCTTGTTTCAGTTCTCATAGAAATAGTTTTAAGTTTTTAACCTATTGAGTATGATGTTGACTGTGGGTTTCCCATAGATGACTCTTATTATTTTAAGGTATGTTCCTTGGATGCCTAGTCTATTGAGGATTTTTACCATGAAGTAGTGTTGGATTTTATTAAGAAGACCTTTGTGTATCTGTTTAGAAAATCATATGGTTTTTACTTTTGATTCTATTTAGCTGGTGAATCACATTTATTGGTTTGCATATGTTGAACCAGCTTGCATCCCAGGAATAAAGCCTACTTGACCATGGTGTATTACCTTTCTGATGTGGTGCTGAATTTGGTTTGCTAGTATTTTGTTGAGGATTTTTACATTTTCTGTTCATGAGGGATCTTGGTCTGAAGTTTTGTTTTTTCACAGTGTCTCTGCCAGATTTTCATATCATGCTACTGCTGGTTTCAAAGAATGAGTTAGGAAGGAGCCCCACCGCCTCGATATTTTGAAATAATTTTAGTAGGATTGATATCATTTCTTCTTAGTATGTCTGGTAAAACTCAGCAGCCAATCTACCTGTTTCAGGCCTTTTTGTTGTTGTTGTTGTTGTTGGTAGGTTCTTTAGTACTGACTCAATGTCAGAAGTTGATATTAGTCTACTTAGAGTTTTGATCTCTTTCTGATTCCATCTTGGGAGACTGTGTGCTTCCTGGAATTTATTCATTTTCTCCAGATTTTCTAATTTGCGTGCAGAGCTGTTCATAGTACTCGCTGAGGATCTTTTGTATCTCTATCTGATCCATTTTAATATAACCTGTCATTTTTATTGCGCTTATTTGGATCTTCTCTTTCTTTTTTATATTTGTTAATTTGGCTAGGAGCTTATCAATTTTTTTTGAAGAACCAATTTTTTGTTTTCTTGGACTGTTGTATACATTTTTGCATCTCAACTTCATTAAATTCTTCTCTAATTGCTGTTATGTCTTCTCTCATGCTAGCTTTGGGGTTGGTTGGTTCTTTTTTTCAAGTTCCTTTAGGTGCAAAGTTACATCGTTAATTTGAGACATTTCTAACTTCTTGATAAAGGCATTTAGGGCTATAAAGTTTCCTCTTAACACTGCTTTGGCTGCATCTTAGAAATTTTGGTAAGTTGTGTTCCTATTTCTATCAATTTCAAGTAATTTTTATATTTCTGCCTTACTTTGATGTTTACAAAGGATTTATTCAGGAGTAAGTTGTTTAATTTTCATGTATTTCTGTAGTTTTGAGAGATCTTGGTATGCATTTGTATTTTTTATTGTACTGTGCTCCAACAGTGTGCTTGGTGAGATTTCATTTTTCCTTAATCTATTCAGGCTTTATTTATCACTGAGCACGTGGTTGAACTTAGAATTTTTTTTTGTGCAGATGAGAAAAATGTACATTCTGTGGTTGTTCGATGGAGTTTTCAATAGATGTCTATTAGGTCCAATTGGTCAAGTGTGGAGTTTAACTCCAGAGTTTTCCTGTTAGTTTTTTTTTTTTTTGGCCTCAGTGATATGTCTAATGCTGTAAGTAGGGTGTTGAAGTCTCTTACTACTATTGTGATGTTGTCTAAGCCTTTTTGTGGGGAAAGAAAAAGTCATTTTGTAAATCTGGGTGCTCCAATATTAAGTGTATATATATTTAAGATATTTAAGGCTTCTCACAGGATTTTATCCTTTATCAATATGCCCTTGTTATTCTTCTTTTCATTGGTAGGCAAAGAAGAAGTCATTTTATGAATTTGGATGCTCCAGTGGTAATCACATATATATTTAAGATAGTTAAGGCTTCTTGTTAGATTGCACCCTTTATCAAAATGCTCTTCTTGTCCCTCTTAGTGTTTTTTTTTTTTTTTTTGGTTTAAATTTGTTTTATCTAATATAAGAATAGTGACTGCTGCTTGTTTTTGTTTCGTTTGCATGGTAGAATACACTCCACCCTTTTACTCTGAGGCAAAGGGTGTGTCTTGAAAGCAACAGATGGATGGGTACTGTCTTTTTATCCAGGATGCCACTTTGTGTCTTTTAACTGTGGTGTTTAGCTTACTTACATGTTAGGTGAGTATTGATATGTGTGATTTTGAATTCACCATCATGTTGTTAGCTGGTTGTTATGTAGAGTTGATTGCATTATTGCTTTATAGTGCCTGTGGGCTATGTGCTTAAGTGAGCTTTTTTGGTAGCAGATATCATTCACTTGAATCCATGTTTAGCACTACCTTAAAGACCTCTTGTAAGGCTGGTCTAGTTTAAATGTATCACGTCAGCATTTGCTTGTCAAAGGAATTTTTTTTTTCCTCTTTCACCTATGAAGCTTAGTTTAGAGGGATATAAAATTATTGGTTAATTTTTTTTCCTTTAAAAACTCTGCAGATAGGCCCCTAACCTCTTCTGGTTGCAAGGAGTCTGCTGAGAGGTCTGCTGCTAGTCTGATGGAATTC